>NC_000002.12:115368405-115671436 GCF_000001405.40 Homo sapiens | reverse complement strand
TTTGAATTAATTTAATTTTTTATTTAAGTCCTAGTTCAAGTTAGAACATTTACTTATGATTTATTCTGAACTGCAAATCTATTTAGTAAGTCAATGCAAACCAAAAAATATATTTTTTAAATAATTAAATTAAAATATCATCTTGGTTTATAAAACTGTTATAGTTATTTTAAGACCAGAACTCAAATATTAAATGTATATATTTTTCTTACTCATTTACCCAGTTAAAAACCTATATGAATTTAAAAAGAAAAACTGGATAAAACAGAACATTTAGAATTCAAATACTTTGAAAATTATAATTTTATGAACAATGAAAACAGGAATCAAAATTAATTATATCAACCATGAACACAGTTATACTCCCAGTGTTTTTTTAGACATGCCCTGAATATCATCACTAGTTTAAAATAATCAACTGAGGTTTGTATAATATTAGAAACCAGGAATATTCTTTATTTCTCAAACATGGCTTAACAATTTTTTTCCAATAGTTTCTCTAAAACATGAAAACTCATGTGACTCAATTTTTTGCCTGTTCATCCACATATCATATTACATTAAAATTAGCAAAAATTTTGAAGTCAGAGGGAGATGCCTTTTAATCTAACTTTTATTTGGCCTATCATTGGGATCAGAGCAATGTCAGCATCAAGTAGACAATATTATCTTCCCCATGAATTGACTGAAAGGATTACATGATAGAATATATTTTAAATGACAAATGAATACATAGTCCTTATTTGAGAATGGCAGCTTTAACGTAGACTTTGATTGAGATATTTTAAGTGGTAGGTATATATCTCAGCATAAAACAGCTTAAAAGTAAAGTTAGTTGCAAAAGAAGATTCTAAACGTAGTCACATTTCTGCTCTTTCACAACTTAGCCTCTCAAAATTGCAACCTACAATAAAAGACAATGCTTTTTACTCTTAGACTGAACCTAAGATAAAAAGCTTACAAAAACTGGGGTAAATTGGCATGGTGAACACAGTTTAATATTAGACCAGTATGTCTTTGAATTCTAGAGAAACATGAATACTAGAAAAGGATGAGAAAATGAGTTTCTGAAATATCAAGTAAATGAAAACTATCAATGATCTTTGAATACAATAGTCATTTTTGTTTTTTTGGCCACTTCTGTGGACAAAATGTTGTGTCCTCTCCATCCAAATTTATATGTTAAAACCCTAATCCCCAATGTGATGATATTTGGATATGGGGCCTTTGAGAGATAATTAGATCATAAAGCTGGAAGCCCTTATGATGGGATTAGTGCCCTTATAAGAGAAACAAGAAAGTGTGCTTATTCTCTGATCTCTGTTATGTGAAGATCCAATGAGAAGACTGCATCTGAAAACCAAAAGGCAGACCCTCTCCAGATACCAGATCTTCCAGAACCTTGACCTCAGACTTCCCAGCCTGCAGAACTATGAGAAATAAATGTCTGGTACTTAAGCTACCCATCTGTGGTAATTTGTTATAGCACCCCCAATTGACTAAAACAGACAACTGGCATCAGTTAATTCTATTTCTCCTAAAAATGTCTAATATTGTTTTGGAATATAGTTTTCTTTCACTCTTTGTCAATGTGTTTAGAAGGAATCTGGCTCTTCTCAGATGCCAGGGATACCATGTCAGAGGCTTGATTATGCTATGGTGGCAATGACTGATACAATGGCTATGTAACTACTCAGAGCTAATAAGCATCATGCAATGTTTGATAACAAATCTGGAACAGAAGCAAACATTATTTCTGGCTGCACTTTCATCTGGAAAGACGTGGGACATTACTGGAGCAATTTTGCCACCACAGAGAATATCTGTCTTAAGTGTGACCAAAATGATGGAAAAAGAAACCAAGAAAAATAAATAAAGATATGTATTATTAAGTCACAATGGGAGCTAGAACTACCTGGGAACTTTCTGACTATATGAACCATTTAAGTCGTTTTCCTTAAGACATTTTGGGAAAGTATTTAAATCACTTGCAAACACAATTTAAATTAACGCAGGAAGACTAAGAATTGACTTTAATTTTTCCCGTTTGCATTCTTATCCTTTCTATTAACTACAGTACACAACTAATCTGACTGTCTAGTTCATGCTCTTCAATAGTGAGTTTTAGTTTTATCTCTGAAGATCAAGCTATTGACCTTAAACACTTAAATACAATAAAACATCATGCTTTTATTTACTTATTTGCTATAGATTACTTCTCAACTGATAGCCAAAACCAAATGTACACCTTTTGCTAATAGCATTCCCATCAGCAATAGATTACATTTGTTACAATGTCCTACTCAATAACAGTAACAATAACACATATTCCCCTAGTCTAAGAAACCAGATCCTTTTCTATATTTACTGTAGAACAAAAGCTTTATACCACTTGCAAAATAGCAGCAAATACTTCTACCCTCAGGAGAAATAGAAGAAAAAAAATCCTAAGGGAAGGCCTGAAATACATTCTGGGCACAGATTATTAAATAAGTTTATACTGATAAAAGAACAGTAGGATTTTCATATTGGGTTCTACCCTCAAAACTCATGACATACTTTCCTACCTAAGGCTGATAGTAAAACAGAAAAATGAAAAATGTCATCCTCCCTTTCTGCCAACACTAGGCTAGAAAGTGTTGAGTAATACAAAACAGTCTACAGCCAGGGGGAATTATAAGAGTGTGGAAAGAACGACCTTCTCTGAGACAGAAGTGCACATGGGAGATCTGAATTTGAGAGTGGATGAGACATCGAGAGAAACTACCTGACAGACCAGCCCACCCTTTAAACATAAGGTAAATCAGAGAGTTTGGAAGCCTGTGGTGAACTGAGAGTGACCAGAAGCAGCAAACCAGAAACTCAGTGTCTTAATTTATTTTCTGCTGCTATAATAGGGTACCACAGCCTGGATAACTTATAACAAATAGAAGTTTATTTGGCTCATGCTCCTGGGGTCTGGGAAATTCAAGAACATGACACCAGAATCTGGTGGGGTTTGTTCCATTGTGGAAGGCATCACATGGTGAATGAGCATGTAAGACAGAGAGAAAAGTGAAGCCAAATTCATGCTTTTATCAAGAGCACACTTTCTCAATAATGGCATTAATTCACTTATAAAAGTGGAGCCCTTGTGACCTAATCATCTCTTAAAGGTCCCACTTCTCCACACTGTTAAAATGGCAATTAAATTTCAACATCAATGTTGGCGGGAACATTCAAACCATAGCACTCAGCACCTGAATATTGGCACAACTCCCTATAATAAAGGGCTTACCAAAAAAAAGGTAATTTCTGGATAAAGTATATAAACAATTTAATAAGTTTCTACTACTGTACTGAAGATATATGGCTTCTAACCAAAATTATAAGATACACAAAGATGCAAGTAAAATAAATAATACACTGTCAAAAGATAAAACAATAGAACTAAGCTTATATATGACACATATATTTAACATATTAATCATCTGTATATTAAAATTCCCACCTGTGAAATTTAATATATAGATGATTACTATGTTAAAGAATCTAGTGGACAAGTTGGGACATATGCATGATTAGATGGGAAATGGCAGCAGAATGAAATAAAAGAATATAATATAATATAAGAAAGAAGGAAATAAAAGTGCTAGAAATAAAGCAAAAAGAACAAAGCTGTAGGCATCATATTACCCAACTTTAAACTACACTGTAAGGCTGCAGTAACCAAAATGGCATGGGACTGGTACAGAAACAGACACATAGACCAATGGAACACGTAAAAGAAAACAAAAATAAAGCTGCACAACTATAATCTTGTGACAAAGTCAACAAAAACAAGCAATGGGGAAAGGACTCCCTTTTTAATAAATGGTGCTGGGATAAGTGGCAAGACATTTGGAGAAGAATGAAACTGTACCCTTTCTTTACCACATACAAAAACCAACTCAAGATGGATTAAAGAGTTAAATGAAAACCCTGAAACTATAAAAATCCTGGAAAATAACCTAGGAAATACTATTCTGGACATAGAAACTGGAAAAGATTGTATGAAAATACCAAAAGCAATTGCAACAAAAATGAAAATTGACAAGTGAGATTTAATTAAACTGAAGAGTTTCTGCACAGTGAAAGAAACTATTCACACACAAACAACCTACAGACTGGAGAAAGTATTTATAATTTATGCATCTGACAAAGTTCTAATATCCAGAATCTATAAGGAACTTAAACAAATCAACAAGTAAAAACAAATAACCATATTAAAAATTAAGCAAAGGACATGAACAAACACTTTTTGAAAGAAAAAACACAAATGGCTAACAAACATGAAAATACGCTCAACATCACTAATCATTAGAGAAAAGCAAATATAACAATGAGATGGTAAAGAGGTTTAATTGATTCACAGTTATGCATGGCTGGAGAGGTCTCAGGAAACTTACAATCATGGTGAAAGGCAAAAGGGAAGCAGGTACCTTCTTCCAGTCATCTCATACCAGTCAGAATGGCTATTACTAAAAAGTCAAAAAATAACTGCTGCTGGTGAGTTTGCAGAGAAAAGTGAACGCTTATACACTGTTGGTAAGAATGTAATTGAGTTCAGACACTGTGGGAGGCAATTTAGTGATTTTTCAAAGAACCTGAAAGAACTACCATTTGACCCAGCAATCCCATTATTCATTATATACCCAAAAGATTATAAATTGTTCAACCATAAAGACAGAGGAACACGTCTGTTCATCACAACACTATTCCCAATAGCAAAGTCGTGGAATCAACCTAAATGCCCATCATCAGGAGACTAAACAAAGAAAATGTGGTACATACATACCATGGACTACTAAACAGCCATAAAATAGAATGAGATTATGTCCTTTGCAGCATCATGGATATAGCTGGAGGCCATAACCTTTGATATGTTTGGCTTTGTGTTGCCACCCACTTCTCATCTTGAATTGCAATTCCCCAGGTGTTAAGGGAGGGTCCTGGTGGGAGATTATTGGATCATGGGGGTGGTTTTCTTCCATGATGTTCTCGTGATAGTGAGCGAGTTCTCATGAGATCTGATGATTTTACAAGTGAGGGTTTCCCCTGTTGGTTCTTTCTTGCAGCGCTGTGAAGAAGGTGCCTGCTTCCCTTTTGCCTTCCACCATGATTGTAAGTTTCCTGAGAACTCTCCAGCCATGCATAACTGTGAATCAATTAAACCCCTTTCCTTTATAAGTTACCCAGTCTCAGATATGCTTCATAGCAGCATGAAAATGGACTAAAACAATCCTAAATGAACTAATGTAGAAACGGAAAACCAAATACTGGATGTTCTCACTTATGAGGGAAACTGAACACTGAGTACACATGCACACAACAAAGGGAACAAACCAAGGTCTACTTGAGGGTGGAGGATGGGAGGAGGGAGAGGACTAAAAAAACTACCTGTTGGGTACTATGCTTATTACCTGGGTGATGAAATAATCTATATGCCAAACTCCTGTGACACACAATTTACCCATAAAACAAACCTGTACATGTACCCCAAACCTAAAATAAACAATTTATAAAAAAGAAATTAAAAAAAAGAAATGCTGGAAATGGAAAAAATAAAAAACAGAAATATAAATTGCCACTGATTGGTAGTAGATTCGATATCACCATTAAAAAAATGGTAAGCTTGAAGATAGGTTAGTGGAAATTACTCAAATTAAAATACAAAGAGAAGAAGTATTAGGAAAAAAGTTTGGAGCAATATAAAATATTCTAACGTATGTGTAACTGAACACCCAAAAGCAAGAGAGTTAGAGTGGGGTAAAATATAGCAAGATACATAAAATGAATAAAGGAATAGAGAAGTATTTTAAGAAGCCTCTCAATCCATTGAAACACTAACAAGCAAGGTTTTCTATATTTAAGTTGCTTCATTTTCTGTATGTTGCAATAAGATTCAATTTTGGAAATGAGTAAAAGTTTGGCTTCTTATTTTAAATTTCAATAAACCTAAGGTGCACACTTTTTTCACACTTTAACATCTCTGGAATTGGGCAGACTGTAGACCAAACGGAATGTCATTAATTTAATTGTTCATGAAAATACAAAATAATGGTATATCTTTCAATTGATGGTATCTCAGATTGGATGCAATATGTTAATTACTCTACTTTGACAAACAAGTTGTGATAAAGGAACATGTGCCTTTGTCAAAAGGTTTACAGGCTAAAACACGGTAACATTGTGACTGCTGTGCTCTGCTGTCTGTCATCCCATGAGACACTACTAATTACCTAGTGGCAACTATTAAATGGAAAGAACACATTCAGTATGGGAATGAGACCTTTACTATGTCACCAGAGTATTTCAAGCAAGATGCCAGGGAACTGTAAGTTAAAAATACAAATTAGCATTTAAGTAAGTGCTAGGTCAGGACTCTTAATAGAACTTCCCTCAATGATATAAATGTTCAGTGTGTGCTGCCCTATATCGTAGCCATAGCCATAGGCGACTAGAGCACTTGAGACATGGCTAGTACAACTGACAGACTGAATATATAATTTTATTTAATGTGAATGTAAATATGAATGGCCACATGTGACTAGTGGCGATGTGTTGAACAGCAAAAGCTTAGACATGGGGTTTGAGCATTTTTAAGATTAGGATGGAAAGATCAGGCATTAGGTTGCCCTAATGCACTGCTCTGAAAATACTAGTGCTACTTTGACATCCTTGGTCCTGCATCATGAACCCAGTTGGGGTAAGAGAGAAACAATTAAGAATGTAATAAGCACAGGAGGTGGTGAGCTCAGCAGCTAAATACCAACTGTCTTTCCTTTCTCACATTCTACTGACAAGCTTCCAGATTTTTCTTGAGAAAAGCATTTCCTTGCTTGACAGAGAAATCCCCAGTACTTGCCCCCATTTTATTATTAGTTTTTTTTTTCTCAATATAGTACTAGGAACAATAAAAAAGTGGGAGATATACATTAAGCATTATTGTTAATTATAGTTTCTAAATATTACAACAACTGATAGTGAGAATAATAATAAAATTCAGGACCTTAACCCATATCCATACTTAGATTTTCCAGAGGATAAAAATTTTCCCTGCTGATGAACCAAAAATTTGAAAAATTTGTAATCAATATTTGATAGTATTTTATAACATTGGTAATTATTTGTAATTCTTAAGTATACTTTTTTGGTACCTTATGTATTATATTCATTAGTATACAATTTGGGCAAATTGAAAATGTTTTTCAGTATAAAGTTATTAGTGAATTCCAATTATTTCCAAAGTCTCTTAACATATTTAAATTGTAAGAAGTAGGCAGTAATTTAAATTCTAGTAAAATGAAATGACTTACCAAACTTAATTTAAATGTCTAATTTTAATATCATCACTGATATAAAGTGTGAATGTAGATAAATACATATATGTATGTAATATTATTATTATTATTATTATTATTGAGATGGAGTCTCGCTCTGTCACACAGGCTGGAGTGCAATGGCACGATCTCGGCTCACTGCAACCTCTGCCTCCCGGGTTCAAGCAATTCTCCTGCCTCAGCCTCCCGAGTAGCTGGGATTGCAGGTGCACGCCACCACACCCGGCTAATTTTTGTATTTTGAGTGGAGACGGGTTTTCACCATGTTGATCAGGCTGCTCTGGACCTCCCGACCTCGTGATCCGCCTGCCTCAGCCTCCCAAAGTGCTGGGATTACAGGCGTGAGCCACCGCGCCCAGCCTGTATGTATTATATGTAGATATAAGAAGCCTTCTTCATATGATTGTGTGATTTGTTCTCTACACAAAACAACTCAGCTTAGAGAATAAGAGGTGGCCGAATGTCAATCTATACTCTGGCTATATTCTTGCACAGGGCTGTATTCTACCAGAATACAGCAAGCCACTGAGCCTTTGCTAAGCAGTTCGCCTATGGACATAAGTGCCCAGAAGGAACAACTTTTTATAAAGTGTCTATGTACCTTTTAAAGATGTCTTCCTTGACAGAAAAAAGTCAAGACTAGCGCAATGAAAAGTTGTGCAAGGAAAACAGACCCGAATACCATGAAACAATGGAATGCATATGCATTAGGCACACAAGAACAGTAGTGACATTTAATTATTGGTTTTCATTTGATCTTATTATACATTGCTGAAGAATATAGGCATCAAGAATAAGAAGTCATCTTTTAAATATGAAATATATATCCTTGGCTCAAGAATTTTAAAAAATACTGAGAAGAACAAAAAGAAATTTAAAACATTGCATTTTTTTCATTATTTTAAAATAAATAATGTAATTGGATTGTTTGTAACTCAAAGGATAAATGCTTGAGGGGATGGATGCTCAATTTTCCATGATGTGCTTATTTCACACCGCATGCTTGTATCAAAACATCTCATGTGCCCCCCAAATATATACACCTAGTATGTACCCACAAAAATTGTAAAAAAAGATAAAATAAAAAATAAAAATTTCTCTTCTCAAAACAATTCTACATGCAAGAAAAGTGAAGTGCCAAAATTTAATTGATTTGCTCAAATACAGTAAGAACACATTGGAGCCAGGACCTAAGCTAGAATTTCTTGACTTCTATATATATTACATACATCATTCTATGTTCATATATCTTCGGGTGTCCTTTAATTGAATAACAGTTTGAGGAAGGCCATACCAGAATTCTTGACTACAAGCAACAATATTGGATTTTACCTAATTAAAGCTAAAGGGAGTGTATTAAAAAAGATACTGGGTGTAACAATTTACATTTCTACCAACAGTGTACAAGGGTTTCCTTTTCTCCATATCCTTGCTAACACTTACCTTTTTTCTTTCTCATAATGACCAAGCTAACAGGTATGAGGTGATATTTCAGTGTGGTTTTGATTTGCATTTTCCTGATGATTAGTTCATTTTAGCTCCTTTTCATATACCCGTTTGCTATTTGTATGTTTCTTTTGAGAAATGTGAATTGGTATGACCATTATAGAAAACAATACAGAAGTTGCTAAAAAAAAAAAATAAAAAACAAAAATAAAAATAGAGCTATCTTATGATACAACAACCTTGATTCTTGGCACATTTTCAAAGGATACAAAATCAGGGTCCTTAAGAGATCTATGCACAACTGTGTTCATTTCAGCATTATTCACTAAGTAGCCACAATATGGAAACAACTAAAATGTCTTGCAGTGGATGGATGGATAAAGAAGGTGTGGTTTATAAATGCAACAAAATGTTAATTTTTAAAAAAGAAGAACATAATTTCATTTGCAACAAAATGGATAAACCTGAAGGTCATTAAGCTTAGTAAAATAAACCAAACACACAAAGAAAAATACTCTAGGATCTCACTTATATATGGAGACTAAAATCATCAAACATATAGAAGCAGAAAGTAGAATGGTGGTTGCCAAGGAGCTGAGGGGAGGGGGAAATGAGAAGCTCTCAGTCAGAGGGCATAAAATTTTAATTCTGTGAGATGGGTAAGTTCTAGAGACCTAATGCACAACACTATGACTATAGTTGATACTGTTTTATATACTTGAAATGTGCTAAGAGGATAGATCTTAACTATTCTTATCACACAAAAATAGATGATAGTAACTACAGGAGGTGATAGAAGTTAATAAGCTTAATTGTGGTAATTGAGTGTTTCATAATGTCCATCAAATCATTAACTTGCACATCTTAAATATATGAAATTTTAATTGTCAATTATAGCACAATAAAACTGAAGGCAAAAAATGAAAGGTGTGGGCAGCTGATAAATTTATTGGGAGAACTAAAAAACCCAGATCAGGGCTAAGCTTCTAGGAATGTTGGCTGAAACCACACCATGAAACTGGCTGTTGAAACAATAACTTCTACTCCATAGAGCCTTTATAGAAAATGTCTACCTGCTTCAGGACTACAAAAGCCACTTCTATGCTAGGAACTTCACTCACAACAACTGATGCCAGCGAAAACAAAATATCCTGTGACCATTCACCTAACAAAACTTAGAAGCACTGCAGGGAGCCTGCTTTTTCTTACTGATCAATTCCAAATCAAGTTCAGATGATTGGTAGTCTAGGTGACCGGCCTGTATCCTAACTAGTTGATTTCCATGTTGAGAACTTAGAAATACAGGAACTATAGAAAGGCTAGTCAAAGATGATGGGAAACCAATTTAATGATGTGCAAAACCAAATTAAAATATATTTCAGGCTGGTCGCGGTGGCTCACGCCTGTAATCCCAGTGCTTTGGGAGGCTGAGGCGGGTGGATCACAAGGTCAGGAGTTCAAGATCAGCCTGGCCAAGATGGTGAAACCTGGTCCCTACTAAAAATACAAAAAATTAGCTGGGTGGGGTGGTGGGCACCTGTAATCCCAGCTACTCGGGAGGCTGAGGCAGAGAATTACTTGAACCCAGGAGGCAGAGTTTGCAGTGAGCCGAGATCACGCCACTGCACTCCAGCCTGGGTGGACAGAGAAATAAAATTAGGGCCTATAATATATGAATTTTTAACTGGTTGCACATTTACTTCTGATAATGGTTATCCTTGATTTTCTCATGATGACACACTAAGTTTTTAAGAATTATCCCAGAACTCATGTTGATCCAATAATTAATCAAGAATTTGGTCTCTAAATGTGGCACAAAAAGTATATTTGTATTTTTAAGTTACACTTTGTTATTTCCAAGTATAAAGACCCTCATGATCAGAGCAAAGCAAAACAGAATAAACAAAATGTACACATCCATGCAATGCAATTAAGAAAATAAAAATTAGCAAAAAAAAAAAAAAAAAAAAAAAAGCCAGACAGAGAGAATGAAAGGAAGGAATGAGACAAGAATTATAATGGGGTCTAAGATAAGATGATAATTTTAATGGGCTATTGGATTTTAAGTAGATTAAAGAGTTGTTTTATAAGGAATTTGTATTATATGAAATAAGCAATCTGAATTTCTGTTCCAAGTGCTCTATTTTCAGGGGAGAAATCTCCATCCCCTGGAGATATTTATACAATTAAGTTTTGGACGCCAAAACAACTTTGTAACTTACTTAGCCTAAACTCCTATGTCCAGATATTTGATTTATGACTGCATTTGACAATGACTGTAGGAATGGTCATAGCAATGTGAAAAATGAAGCAAGCCTCTCTAAAAAAGTTCACCTTGATTATGTTAAACATTGAGCAGGTGAAACAGAGAGGGGGAAAAAAAGGAGCAACAATTACCATAGTTGGAGTTTATGTCAATAGATCTGTAATGTGGCTGTAAACGTAATAAACAGACATCTCATTCCATAAAGGAAGGGATTTTAACTAAATAATCCTAAGTAGTTGCCAGTTACAAATGGAAAATAACACATGAAAAATGCTGAGCATGTTGATTGTGACACAGTAGCCCTTCAATAAATTTAAGCTATTATAAAATCCTAGTACAAAGTATTTTTTAAATTTACCCCTATGCCATGGATTTATTTCCTTAGATGACATAATGATTAATCCATTTGTGGCTTCTTTGTGAGTACAAAGTGGTAAAACTAGAAGTGATGGCATACAAAAAAAGATAAATTTTAAAAATGACTCATGGCTTTTAGCACTTAGGATATGGTTAATTAATAAAAAGTCAAAACCGAAAGAAACTTGCCTGGGGCTTATAGAACTGACAAATGAAAACTGATCATTTTTTCCTTGTAATAGTTACTGACTAAACTCCTTATGCTAAGCAAAGATTAAAAAGTCTTTGGAAATTTCTCTGTATATTAGACATACAAAAACCTACCTTATTATTATAAGCATTAAGGCCATCATTTTACACCTATGGACATACCATGAAAGCACTGACTCAGTATCAAATTCATAGTCATTTGGAAAAGAGTAGCTAAATTAAATCACTGATTTGTGGCTAAATCAAAACAACAAACACATTTTATTTCTTTTCATATTTGAAGCCTTAGAGACTCGGTTGAATTGTAGCTTTTTACACATATATATTAAGGTTAACTCTATCTGGATCTTGATACCAACTGGAAATAGTTTCAATTCTAAACTTTTTTTTTTGGTCACTTTTAGTATAAATAAAAGAAAATGCACATTGTGGGAGGTGACATGAGAGGTTGGTAGGAAAATGGGGTTCTGCTAAAGGCTCACTATGTGTCTTAGTTCACTTGTGCTGCTATACCAGAATATCTGAGACTAGGTAATTTATAAAGAACAGAAATGTATTGACTTATGGTTATGGAGGTTGGGAAGTATGAGAGCATGGTGCCAGCATCTGATGCAGGCCTTCTTGCTAAGTCATCTCCTGGCTTTAGGTGGAAAGGCAAGAGAAGACAAGAGTGAGAGAGGGAAGGAGGCTGAACTTACCGTTTTATCAGGAATCTGCTCTCATGATAACTAACCCACTCAATAATAATGGCATTAATCCTGCCATTCATGAGGGCTCTGCCTCTGAAAGGTCCCACTTCTCAACACTGGTGCTTCGGGATTAAGTTTCCAACACATAAACTTTGGGGGACACTTTCAAACCAGAGAACTATACAACTTGAAAAAATTTACTCTGTGTAGTCCTTGAATTGATATAGTTTATTATAAAATGGGAGGCTGGACAAGCTTTCTTTCAGAATTAATATTCCCAGGACCCTTCATTTAGTCTCACATAAGGGAGATTAGTAGTGATTTTATTGTTGTTTTTCAGAGCTTTAGACTATCATGTATTGTAAAGAAAGAAATATTCAAATAAAAAGACATTTTTATTTGTTTAAGTCAATAGAAAGCTGCCTTCTTCAGTTATCTTTAAGATTCAGTTCTCATAGATCTAATAGATTTTTGTACCCAAGTTGAATGACAAGGTCATAGTTTCACAAACACCACATTTATTTGATTCAATCAGCATCAATTATTCCCTGGTGATTGATAACAACCAGTGCCTACCATTGGTAATAATTTATGAATGATGTTAACACTTTGATGAGTAAAATATAGCAAGCGAGAACTAATGTTTGCTGCCAAACTAAAATAAATATAAAAAGAGAGAGAGATTTTAAGACATCGAATTCATTCTCAAAAAAAAAAGGGGTTGTCAAGTTGACCTAAATAAATAAGGGAGATTGGGGTGGAGAAAGAACAAGGAAATGGGCCAAACATGAAAACATTATTCAAAATAAATAAAAAGATACTAAAGGGGTAGAAAGAAGTCTCTATTAGATGCATATCAATTAGTAATCAATTATGCTCATTTTATGCAGCTGCAGTTCTCTTTTTCAGATTGCTTGTTGCATTTACTAGACTTTAGGAATAGAGATAAATGACTGATATTTGGATATGTACTTCCAAATAGAGCATAGCAATCCAGGGCAGGTGAATTCTTCCCAAAAATAGTAGTTCATACAAGATGTCTTGAAATAAAAATTAACACATTATTGTCACATTAAATATATCACTAGTTTTACTGTCTTGGAATACTACAACAATTTAAATATGACATATAACATCTTAAATATTGAAAAAAGGGCAACATGTACCTATGCTCTGTGGAAGGTTCTTCCACACAGCTGTGGAAGAAGGTTCTCTTCAGACACATAGACAAATATTTATTTTTACAAGGTTGTTTCTTCTGTTTAAAGGCTTCAAGAGAATTTTGTAATGGTTTTTATTTTCAGTAGCCATTAACATGTGAAGAACATAAGCAGATAGCATGTAATACAAATTAAAATATATCAATCTATCATTTTTATTTTTAAAATTGCGTGATGATGCATCTTCCACGCATTTAGGTTGCTCAAAAACATTAAAATAAAACTTCTACGCTTTTTTTTCTACACACACTCACATTATTAATTTAAATTATGAAGAAGCCCTTTTGGAATGGTGGTTGAGCATTAGAAGAAGATCATAACAGGATAAAGCAGAGCAAGTGGACTAGCTGGGAGAAAAGACAAGAGTAATGAAGATTTTAAAAGGAAGAGATCAATAAAAGAAAGATACAGATGATTAAATAATGTCTTAAGAGAAGAAATAGAGAAAACAACCATATTTTCTGTTTCATAAATTAAAAGAAATGTATTTTTGTCGATTGCAGAGTCGCATACTAAAATGAATATTGAACTTGATGTTTGACAGTGTAAGTTTTAAATGACTGATTTTAAAATCTTGGGAAGTTAGTTTCACCATTGTTATCACCAGCTGTTAATTAGGTTTTCATGTAATTTTCTGAGAAAATTTATGGCTGCTATTCTTCTCACTTTATCTACTTTTAGGTTTGTACAAACATTCAAATTTTTAAATAAATTTGAATAAGCAAATAAAAGAGGTTTATGTTAAATTTATTCCTTATACATAATTATTATTTAATGCCAATGGAAGCAAAAACTATGCATTTCTTAGGATGGGAAAATGTATAATCTACAATAAATCATGTCTACCATGATTTTAAAGTGCACAATACTGTCTTATTAATATAGATACTATGTTACACATCAGATATTCAGAACTTATTTATTATGCATAACAGAAACTTTATACCCATTGAAAAATAATTTTCCATTTTTCTCCTCACGCAGTCCCTGGCAACCATCATAATAGAAAAATGGTCATGATAAACTGTAAGAAAGAAGCACTTCTCAAATTTTATACAGAATGATTATTTCTATAAAATAAATAAGCAAACCTTCCAATATTGTAGTTGTGTTTATGTCTATCTTATGTATGCTCTTCAGGAATACACGCCAAATATAATGGTGACTTTCTCCCGCTGGTAACAAATTAACTGACTTTGAAACTTATTTCAGCTAATTTGAAACTTCTTCTTCATAACAGTCTACATTATCTGAATTTTTAATATGAATATCTCTAATCATAGCCAAGAGTTTTTTGCAATATTGAAATACAAACTTAATGACGAGTAAATCCCCAGATAGAACTTATAATTTTCCTTTCTCATACCGACAGATTGATCTTTCTCCTTTTTTATATAAAGTTAAAAAGGGGGAAGAGAGGTTTGTACAAATCTTCAGAACTACATATAAAACATTAGTGATATTCTGAAACCTTCAGCTTTTTATCTCTCAGAATAAAAAAAAATTAGCACCAATTTGAGCCTAAGAAAAACTAACACAATGTATGAACATTATTTCACAATCCATCTCTGTCTTATTCTGAATTTTCCATTGTATTATTTAGCTTTATTGATATATAATTGATACACATGAACTGCACATATTAAATATATACAATTTGATTAGTTTAAAAATATGCATATACCCATTATATCATCACCAAAATCAAGGTAATAAATGTGTGTGTGTGTGTGTGTGTGTGTGTGTGTGTGTGTTTGGTAAGAACATAACATGAGATGTATACTCTTATCATATTTTAAAGTGCACAATACTGTCTTATTAATATAGATACTATGTTACACATCAGATATTTAGAACTTATTTATTATGCATAACAGAAACTTTATACCCATTGAAAAATAATTTTCCATTTTCTCCTCACGCAGTCCCTGGCAACCATCATTCATTCTATTCTTATCTACTATGAGTTTGACTATTTCCCATGGTATTTAACACCCAATTGCCAAAGCTCCTTCTCATTCAGTCTTCCTCCTCAGCCTTCCCCTAAGAAATTATTTGTATTTATTTGAGAGCTAATTCTTTATTCAATATAATATGATAATTCTTCAAAAATTAAAATCAATTCAGTAGGAATGTGTTGAGCGATTATATGATTAATATCTTTTTATATTTATTCTATTTATTAATTCTCCATCATTATTCATTTAAATAAGTAATAAGAATTATAAATTTGAAGGAAACTTATGAAAGGAGGAAAAGGACAAGGGTGCGTATAATTTGATAACACGCCCCTATATATCCAAACCAATCAAATAATAGAGCTAATATTGAGTAGGAAACAGAAGATGGGGTTGATTAGATGTAAATAAATACAATTGATGAGCAAAGCATAATTTGTACCTTTTACAGATTCTAAATTTATATAAAATGATTTCATTTTTACACCATTTGATGCAAAAAGTTTTCTAAAGAACTTGTTATACTCTAAAAAAAAGTTTTATTTTGACACATGTGCACTAGGTATTCATGAGTGCTTTTAGACATACAGCATCAAAGCAATACATATTATTAGAATACTATGATTTTTTTTCCCCAAACTTTGTGTCCTAGACTCTTAATTGAAACTTTCGATTGTGCTTATTCGGCCAAATATCTATAATTAAATAAAGCCTAAAAAGTTACGTATTTGGGACATTATAAAAATTACCTGAAAACAATATATACTTTGGTATAAAATAATCTTGAATTCCAGATTTCAACCCAACTTCATCTCCAGTTGAATGCATATATAACAATCAAAGGGTGAAGTTGCAAAGAAACATTAATTTTTTTTCCAAGTATACACTTAGAGGAATAATTTTTAAAAGCATCCAAAAAGAGACAAGATAAAATAGAAAATAAGTGTAGAATTTTGGAAATTAGAAAAATCAGGCTGAATTTTATGAAGAAATGCAACCTAAAAGTCAAAGTTGTGGGAACTGATATTGGGAGACAGCTTTCTCTATCCCTGATAGTTACTCTAATGACCCTATCAGCTACTTCATCTGTTACATGCTAAAATTTATTGCCCCTCCTTTGCCGTCTGCTGTCTTAATGGTGACAGAGAGGTTACACATTGAGACTGAGAGATATTGATTGGTTTATAAACAATAAAGACTACTATTGGTCCTCTTCATGAGCAATCATATAAGAAATTCATTTAAAAATAGATGTAGGAAGAAGTATGCTGTGTTCTCTTATGACAAGATTTCTTAAAGCATATTATTTAATTTCCACACTTTTTGTGACTGATGCAAGAGCCACCCCAATCCCTAAATAATAATTTACAGACTGTTCTGTTTGCTTTGGCAATCACAATGCCAATTTGGCATGCTTCTTGATCTTTCTGTTTTTGTATATTTTGCACTTCTCTTTTCAAAGACATTCCCTGAATAATAATTAGGAAAAATCATTAAATTATGTGCTTAGTTTTATTCAATACCTGTATCTATTGACATTCCAGTATTTTAATAAGGGAATTATTAATAGAAAACGTTATTAATGGAATTTTAATAAGGTTTAATTCCTCCAAATTTTTTAAATGACAAAGGCAATTCGCTTTGATTTCTTGTTTGTACTATTGAGTATGTTGCCTTCACTCGTGTATACTTAGAATTTATTTTTTATATTTGTTTATGTTAAATAAAAGATTATAAACTGCTTGTGATGAAGCTAACACTGCAGGGGATGGGGGAAGCAGGGTGGATGAAACTCATTCCTAGATTCAAGAAAATCAAAATCAAATTGAGTAGACTGATGTGTAAATATTTCTGATATAATTAGATACAATATAAAAAGAACGTTGTAGGGCTTTACGAATTTTAAAATTTTTATTCTTAATAAAAGAGTTCTTAGGAAAGTCAGTTTGGTATTTGAACTGAGTAAAATAGTCTTATTAACTGGGTGACCTTGGATAAGTCATTTAATCTCTTTAAGCTATAGCATTCACAACAATAAAACATGGATAACAAAAAGGAGGTTTGCTGTAAGAATTAAATAAAATACTCAGTTAAGATATCCTCTACAGGGATTGGCCAAAATAACTAATAAAAGAGAGCTATAATCCCCAACATTCTCCTCTTCTTTCCCATGACATTATCATTCCTTTTATTATCACATCAACATCAACTTGCCTTCTAGGGAAGAGGATTCACTAGTTGGAAAAAGGGGAATGGAATCATCTAGAAAAGACAAGAAATATAAAGAAAGAAAGAACATACACATTGTGTTTCCGGAAAATTATGAGAAGTTGATTGTGGATAGAATTTATTGTATATTGGGAAAACTGTGTCCAGAAATGAGGCTGCAAATGAAGAGTAAGAAAAACTTTTAGGAGCATTAAATAAAGTACAAAGGAATTAGGATTTCATTTAGACAGCGGAGATTATCTAAGACATTTTTAATGTAGATGGCAGATTTGTTGTTTTAAAAGTGAACTACTGGTGCTACTGAGAATGGATTGAAATTGGGTAAAATATAAAATGCTAGCGTTAGATATTTCTTCTGTGCAGTCATCATTTATTACTCTAAGAATAATTTTTTATTCTTTTTTAACTTGTATTAAACAAATTTTAATGTATGTTTTGTCTATTTGTCTGATTTTACATTCTTTGCCCTCATATCCCCGGCTTTACTTTTCCTAAATTGTCTTCTCATTTTAATGCTTCTTATACTTTGTCTTTTCAATTACCTGTCACAATATTTTAAATTTTGTATATCCACCTCTAATTAACTGATGATCTCAATTATTCATTGAATGAATGTTTTCTGTGTGTGAAGTATAAACCAGACTCCATCATCATTTGTGCTTTCCCCCTGTGTCTCTGTAAAATATAATTAGAACATTTATTTTGAGAATTCATTTGTAAACAATTTCGCCAATGTTTTCCTTCTTTGAAATTGCCATAATGAATTGTGATGGTTAGTTTTACATGTCAGCTTGACTGGACCACAGGGTGTCCAGTCACGTGGTTAAGCATTATGTCTGAGTGCATCTTTCAGGGTGTATCTGAATGAGACTAGCATTTGAATCAACAGACTGAGTAATACAGACAGCCCTCCCCAGTGTGAGTGGGCCTCATCCAATCCATGGAGGCTTGAATCAAACAAAATGCAGAATAAGAGATGATTCGCTTTCTCTGCCCAACTGTTCTCGAAATGGTACATCAGTCTTCCCCTGCTGTCATATTTGCACTCAGTCTATAAACTTAAATCATTGTCTTTCCTGGTTCTCAGGACTTTAGACTCACACTAGAACTGTACCATCGGCTCTCCTGAGTCTCCAGCTTGCCAACTACAGATCCTGAAACTTCTCCGCCTCTATAACTTCATATGCTAATTCCTATATCTATCTACATTATATATATAATATATAAAGGTATTAGAGAATACATATATTAAAGGAATACACACACACACACACACACACACACACACACATATATATCCTATTGGTTTTCTTTCTCTGGAGAATCCAGACTAATACATGAAGAAATAAGCAATATCTGTTTCCAGCTAGTGACTGCCTACTGTACACAAGACACTGTGCTATACACTTCATTTACCAAATAATTCATAATTTACTAGTTCTCACTTCTGTCCTCTGTAAAATGGGTGCAATCATTGTACTTAAACCATAAACTTATTGGTATAATTAAATGAATTGATTTCTATAAAGTACTTGAAAGAATGTCTGGCATATATCATGTATCCAACTATTCCAGCTATTTTTAAATTTTTGTTATTCACCTCTATATTATATCTGAGAAAAACAGTCTTTAAAGATAAAATTTAATTTGTCCAACATCACAGATAAGGTCAATTATAGAGTCTGAATTCGAATTCTCATATATCTGAATCATAAGGCATCCTCTTAACCTACAGATGTCATTGAACTGATGTGCTTCAGGGAAACTTTGAAAAATGAATCATTATATTTTATAGTTAACAGAACACTAAAATTCAATTCAGTTGAGTGTGGCAACTTGAAGAATTAAGCATGTCACTGTTGGTAAAAACAATAAAAATCTGCAAAACTTACAAAGGCTGTCCAACCATGGAAACTATCTGCTTATTCTCTTTACAATAACTTTTCAGTATAAACGGAAGCTAGAGAATATGTGTAAAAAAGCACCATCTTTTCCTTTTCCAGTCCCCATATGGTATGATCAAAGCTGACAGGGCAGACATTCCTGTCTGTACCCTGACTGACAGTATTATATTACTCCATGGATCATCCTCCTCCTGCGCATTCTTTTTATCTTGGTATATGTGGGAAACCATTCGGCGTCTAAGCCATTCCTAATGATTAGTCATCTCCTCTGTTTCTTTCGAATTCTTTTACTTGAAAATGAAAATTGCTTTCCTTCTTCTAATTGCTTAATAAAAATTAATTAACTTTCTACTTGAGCAAACCATTTTAGAAGATAATTCAGCGCCGGGAAAGGAGGATAACACAAGGATAAAAGGTTCAAGTCATTTTCTCAGAAAGCTTATAATGTGACACCTACTTTTCATTTTTTCAGGTTCATTAATTTTCCTCCAATTTACCAACTAGAAAGACTAATTTAGAAGTCTATTCATATTATACAAACAGAGTTGAACAAATCTATTTTATTTTGTTTGTTCTCTCGCTTTTAATTAATTTGCAGGTTTCATTCATTCCTTCTTTCAAAAAAATAGTTTTGGACTAGTTACTACTAGGTGATGGGAAACACAGAGACAGCAAGACTCAGACCCTTCTCTCAAGTTTCTGATAATCTATAATGGAGAAAAAGATAAGCATGCTTTGTTATACCATGTAAATTTGCTAGAGGGTGACACAGCATAAGGTATGGTGGCATGGGGCTCTCTGTCAGGGGATTTAGGGAAGGCTTGAAGAGGAGAGATCACTTGAGGTGAGTCTTGAGAAATGTGGAGAAATTCTGTCTCTCACTCTCTTTCTTCCTTTCTTTCTCTTCCCTTCGTTGGACATTTCTTTCCTCTCATTTCTTCTCTGGGCCTCCTCTTTTCATCCCTCCCCACTCCTTTTCCGCTCCTCCTCCTCCTCTTTCTCCTTCAATGCTACTGGAAGACAAAGACCATGGGCAAAAATGCATGGGCACCTCAGGGAGCAGGGAGTGTGTTGAATATGGCTACACTAGGAAATACTCATGGAGGCTAGCTGAGTCTGGGAGACCAAGTAGAGACCACATGTGAAAGGACCTGTGTGTCATCCTAAGAAGAGAAATAATCTGTAAACAATAACAGTCTTTCTTAGGAGGTGGATTATATGACAAAATATATGAAATAGAACAATTACTCTGGCAGTAATAGATGTAACTGATTAAAGGGAGAAGAAACTAGAGTCATAATAAGGCTTGTAAGTTAATTTATTTATCAAAAATTATAAAAATATGATTATCTTTACCAGTTGTCAAGTGGATTATCCCCCCCCCCCTTTCCCCATGCCAGCATGTGCCTTTATCTGGATGCCAATGCTTCAAGATCGAGACGATAAGAAGTTGTCATGTCAAAAAAAAGTTACTCAGTGAAAACTTTTAGATGTTCCTGGAATAATCACATTAGCTAGTACATCTTTTTGCAACACATGGATTCAAGTTGAAGTGATTAAAAGTCACTTGCAAGTATCTAATTACTTCTGCAGATACACCTCGACGATTGAAATTCTGTGTGCCTAAGATCTGTTTATTCAAAATCTGTTCTCAAAGTGAGGCCATCAAAGAGAGAATTGAGTGTCATTTATAATACAGAAATTCCTTGTGCCAACAAATGACCACTGGCCACAGGAAAAAATGCTGTTCCCTATTTTTCAGTCTCTCTCTTTTTTTTTGCCAACAAATCCAAAAACTCATTGAATTGGCACATTTGGCACACTGTAAACAAAACACATATGTCTTAGTTTTTCCATACTGGAGAAAACATGATACTTGCCAGATGACCTGAATAGCAGCCAGCCCTCTTTGTAGGTATTAAATGTAGAGAGAATGTCTGGTGGCTAGTTGGGAGATAAATATAAGGAAAGAAAGTAGGAGGAAGAATGGATGTATATTTATTTTCTCACTATTTGAAATAATGTGAAAGATGAAGGTAGTACATATTCTGAAAACATGGAGCACATTTTCATTCTGACTACATAATATAGGGCATAAAACACAGCATATGGTACTTAAAATCCACTTGGTAATAGAATGCAATATTTGATTGAATTCCTTCCTTTTTCATAATTTGGAAACAAAACATTAACCCCAAAGATTATTTTTAAATTAGTCTGAAAGCAACTTAATTTTATTGTAAAAGATGATATAAAAGAATGAAATATTACTAGGACATTGATCAATGGGTTCCTAAAAATAATTATGTACAAATCATCATAAAAAGAGCATTCTGAAGGAGGAATGAAGACTGACATATAAAAAGAAAATCATAGCAAAATGTAATCTGAAGTTTCTACAATATATTTCACGAGTTTAATGTTAATCTTTGAACACAATATTCTTCATAATAAACTCTTGTCTTACTTTGATTGTTGATTGTCACTTAATCCTGTTGAAGCCCATTATAATCCATTTGGTTGTTAATGAGCTCAGAGAAAGTAACAGAAGAGTAGCTCCTCTCACATAGAACATTTGGCCCAGGCACTTGAGCCATTTATAAGCATTAGTTCACTAATCCCTTTAGGATTACATTACTTCCTGTCATTAATACTCTCATTCTTGCTATTGCACTATCTATTTCCTCTCCTTTTCCCTAGAAGCATGAATTTTCTCTGGTTTTGTTTTTCTCTTCCCAGAAATGCTGGAAAGACACATTTTAAAGAGGATAATGAAAGTAATGTGGACTCACTCAGTTTGTTTCCAGTACTCACCTGTGCCAGTCCTGCCACCTGGTCTTTATTACTGCTTTGCTTTCCAACTGGGTTGGTGTCCCTACTCCATTAATCTATTAAGTCTTGGCTCCTTCTACCCCTGCTAGGTGTTAAGGCAACAAAGGTGAATATTGAGAATCCTCCATATGACTCCTATTACTGCTTTGCTTTCCAACTGGGTTGGACTCTCCACGCCACTAATCTGAACTCTCACTTCACTCCACCTTTGCTTTAAGAGGTTCACACTACCTATCCTTCCTCCCTTGGGATAATCTATGTAAATTACCTAGAATACCCTAGGCTAAGTTTTATTAAATTTTTTCAATTGACAAAAATTGTCTACTTTTTAATGTTTCTTTTTTTTTTTTTTAAGTTCCGGGGTACATGTGCAGGATTTGCAGGTTTGTTACATGGGTAAACATGTGCCATGGTGGTTTGCTGCACCTAAGAACCCATCACCTGGGTAAGAGATGATTATTTGAAATACGTATTCATTTTGGAAGGGCCAAATTGAGCCAATTAATATATGCATTATATCACATATATTTTTGTGTTGAGAACACTTAAAATCTGCTCTCTTAGGGATTTTCAAGAATATCATACATTGATATGAACTATCGTCACCATGTTGTACAACAGATCTCTTGAACTTACTCCTCCTATTTAACTATAATGTTGTATCCTTTGACCAACATCGCACCAATGCCCCCACCCTGACCCTAAACAGACCCTGGTAACTACGATTCTACTCTGCTTCTATGAGTTCAGTTTTTAAAAACATATATTTCCCATATAGAGGATTAATTCTAAATGAAGGAATTCTTAGGTTCTCACTATTTTTTTTTTGCTCTGGTGGAGAATTCTTCTGGTACCTTAAGTGAATAAATCTTAGTAAGCTAGATGTGAGGGATCACTTGCCCTCTCTCAGACATGCAAACTAAAGTAACAACATAAAATAAGTTTTTCCTTCTTTGCACAGAATAAAAGTGATATGAATCTTTACTGCATTAGTCACATCCTTCTATGGTTTGAATGTGTTTGCTCCCTCCAAAATTCACGATGAACGTAAATCACCTCCAAAATTCATGTGTTTTCAATGCGGTAGCATTAAGAAGGGAAGCCTTTAAGAAATGCTTAAGCAATGAGAGCTGTTGCCTCATGAATGGAATTAAGGCCCTTTTAAAAGGGGCTTCACTCAGTGTTAGGGAGGCTTGCCCTAGTTGCCCTTTCTCTTCCTACCATGTGAGGACTCAGCAAAAAAAGCCCTCATCAGATCACATGACAGTGCCTTGATCTTGGACTTCCCAGCCCCCAGAACTGTGAAAAATTAATTTCTGTTTTATATAAATTACCCAGTATCAGGTATTTTGTTGTAGTGTACAAACAGACTAAGATGTACCCTCAGTCATGTTACCCAGTCCTTTGTTTGTTAATTTTTTTTTTACCATGTACTATTTCTAATACAACATCTACCTTGTTATTGTTTAAACATTTGCACTTTTCATAGCAAAGATCTTGCCTTGTGCAATGCCATATTTGAAGGCCTAGCAGAGTGTTTAGTACATACCAGCTGCTAAACCATTGTTTGTTGAAAAAGGCTAATGAATGAGTATAATCATCGTAGAGCTGCATGGAGAGGTTTAAAAAGCTTCCTATGTGCTGCTGCCACAACTTCAACTGCCTACTGCAATGCCTGAAATTCTAGAATTCAGAAGGCATTTCTCTGGGTAATGTATAGAGCGGCACTTGATAAAGCGGTTAAACCCAAAGGGAGCCGGTCTTCTTCCTTTGATTGTGTCACACTAAGCAAAGGATAGGCCCTGATGTGTCTTTAACCTTCCATGTTTCCATCTTCCTTCTTTCTGTCCATGCATCTGGAGCCCATAGGAATTACAAATAACTAGATAAATCTCTTGTCTCCAGAGTGAGGTGACATGACTTTTGTTTCATCCCAATGTGATGAGAACTATTTTTATGGTTACTATAGAATGACTATCTTACTTCCTATTTATAGCCTACAGTTTTGGTGACCTCAAACGAAATTACCTCCCTCATCTGCTGAGATTAATAGAAGAGCTAGCAGTGTGCACACAGGGGCAAAGAAGAAAAAAATAAACAGCGTTAGAGAGTGACGTTACAGACTTCTAAACATGGTAGATCTAGCAGGAACTTAATAGTGGTACAATTCAGAATCATCAAAATCATCAATTTAAAGAGAAGGAAATTGAGGCTCAGGGTTGTCAACTTTTTTAGAATTTGTATAAAAACAGTCTGTTTAACCTGCCCAAACTAAATAATCTGAAAACATAATTCACTCAAAAGTCCTAAGAATGTTTTTAAATGGTGTCAAAATCTTTCAGTATAGCCATCTACGTAGGAATCCCTTGCCTGTTAGCCCAGGTGGCTTAAGGAAATAACTAAATGTTTGCTAAACACCCTGTGTTTCAGTGGTATTACATGTCACAGCCAATGTACAGACATGGTGTTTCAGCACAAATAATGCAGGTGGGACTTACAGTATTAGATCTTTGTTGCCTTATCTCTTAATTTTGTTAAAGTAATTATAGAATCTCCCATATATAATCTCTTCAATTTCTTTTTTTTTACCCAGAGTCAGGCTGTGTTCCCATTCACAGTGCTAATAGCCCCACTGTAATGATCTTTAAAGCTCTAGGTAGAACATGCTATTTTTAATTTCTATGAGCCTACTAAGTTTAGAAGCAATATGTGACAGTCTGATCTCCATCACTGCCAGGTAGAAGCAGGGCCAGTGCAGTAATATGGTGACATAGAGTAAGCACTAGTCACTCTCTGTTGAATAAAATAATAAATAGGAGGAGGCAAAGAGGGCAAAGAAGTGTGTGTGTGTGTGTGCGCGCACGCACGTGCATGTGTGTGCATGTGTATGTGCATGTGCGTGTGTGTGTGTGATGGGAAGTGAAATATATATGTGTATCAGTCAGGATTATGTCAGTCAGGATCATATTTAACAAAAAACAAAACATAACGCCTTATGATATTTAGACTCTTCTGTCTTTCCTGTCTATGATATTTATGTTGTGCTTTGTCCCAATAATTGTTACCTCGTCATCATGATATAAATGCTTCAGCTTCATCTTAATGTTTTATATAGGAAGACAGAGAAGGAAATAGAGTTGGAATAAAAAGAGGAAGTAGAGCAAACATTTCCCAGAAATCCCCAACTGATTTCTGCTTTTTAATATTGGAACATAGCATGTTATATAATGAGTCATTTTTGCAAATGTGCCTAAGAACTTAATGGTTTTGTTTACTTTCTATATTTTGACTTAAACGTGCATCCACCCTGAACAGCATAATTTTTTTTATAATAAGGAAGAAGGGGATATAACATGATGGCTTAGTAAGGGGGAGTTTCATTTTCCTCAATTTCAGGCAAATTACTATTTCTATTCATAACTCAAATTATTACATGGGAAAAATGAAGGATTCAGACTAAGGGACTGAGAAGTCATTTGATATAGTTTCTAGGCAGGTGATGTAAAAAATAAAGTGGCTGGTGGGGATTGGGAAGCCCTGAGTATCACAGGACTCATCTGAAAGAGGGTGTAGCTTCTCAGCTCCAGCTTATCATAGTCATGCAGGGATGTGTACCACATTTTCTAATCTTCTAAATAAATTGAAAATTACTATCTCTATATCAAAACTCTCAATATTCAATGTTGGTAACTGATACAAAGTTTTAAAACTCAGTGGAACAGAGTAAAGCACATTTGGGACTTGGGCTTGGCCTATAACATAAGGAAAGTGTTTAGGAATTCAAAACAATCTCAATTCTCAGGGCCCTTTAAGCTAAAACAGTCTGTGTCTTGGCTTCCTATATGATCCCATTTGAGAATACTTTTCATGGTATCATTAAGGTGAATGCTTAAAATAATAGGAGACAGCACTGTAAGACCAAAGGGCAAGTTCCTATACAGTTCACCTTTGAAATCTGACTTTCCTACTCTATCAGTTTTCCTCTGACTTACTCATATTGCAAATAAACATAGAATCCAATTATGTTGTTAGGCATGCTGATATTTCAATATAAATAATTATATCTTTGGTGGTATAGTTTATATAAACCACATTAAAATATGGAGATTAGTGGTACTGACTGTTAACTCCACCCACACCAAACTCCTATTCAATTAATAACTTTTTAAATTTTTATTTTTAGAGACAAGGTCTCACTCTGTCACCTTGGCTGGAGTGCAGTGGCTCAATCATAGCTTGCTGCAGCCCCAAACTCCTGGGCTCAAGGGATCCTCCTGCCTCAGCCTCCCAAGTAGCTAGGACTACAGGTGGTGCACGCCACCATGCCTAGCTATTTTTTTTTTTTTTCAAATACCTTATAGAGACGGAGTGTCTCTACGCTGCCCAGGCTGGTCTGGAACTCCTAGCCTCAAGTAATCCTCCCATCTTGGCCTTCCAAAGTGTTGGGTTTATAGGTATGAGCCATTGCATCCAGTCCTTCAGTGAACAAGTAAACTAAGAAACTATTATTACCATCATTCTCAGCAAACTATCGCAAGGACAAAAAACCAAACACCGCATGTTCTCACTCATAGGTGGGAATTGAACAATGAGAACACTTGGACACAAGAAGGGGAACATCACACACCGGGGCCTGTTGCGGAGTGGGCGGAGGGGGGAGGGATAGCATTAGGAGATATACCTAACGTAAATGACAAGTTAATGGGTGCAGCACACCAACATGGCACATGTATACATACGTAACAAACCTGCACGTTGTGCACATGTACCCTAGAACTTAAAGTATAATAAAAATATATATATATTTAAAAAAAGAAACTATTATTTTCCTGTGGGTTAGACATGGTTAAGTTTTTTTAATTTACAAATGGGGAACCACAGTTGATGTGCAGTATGAGACTGGATTTAGAAATGTTCAGTGGCTCAGATGAACAAAGTCAACTGACCTGATTGGCCAGTCAGGTGCTAATGGAGCCAATGATTATGGCAATGACAGGAAAGTACCAACAAAGATAAAGACAAGAACCACATTCAACATTTTTAAGTGGATCTCTACTTTATTTTTTTCACAATATTCCAAAGTGAACTGTTTAGACAATGGTTTGATTTGCCCTAAACAGTGACAGCATAAAAAATAACTGACTAAGCTCATCAGCAACTGGTACAGAGAAGAAACTCATGAGTTTTTGCTAAATGAAGGGCTACTGTCACAAAATCTGGGGATGGAATTTCATGGGAACAGACCAAAACCTTGTAATCAGCTTTCTAAAAGTATGATGAATCTAGCAACATTTGCAGGCAAAAACTAATGCCAGTAAAAGTACAAGTAATTCTTGTAATTTAAAAAGGGCCTTGGAATATAACTCTGTTTTTATAACGTCTTATGTGCCCCATCCTCCCAGAATCATCCAGTGTTCTGTTAGACACCTAACCTTTTGTTTTAATCTATTATATCGTGGGCTCCTCTTTAATCACCATTTGTAATCTTGGTGCAGTATATGGATTTCGCAGTCTATACAGGTAGACCCTTGAGCTTTCAGTTTTACTGCCTCTCTACAATTTTTCATGCTGCTACTATTCTTTATTAGCAATCCTGTTAACTGTAAAATACAATGACTTGATTCTTTAATCTCTCTATTGCAGCCGAAGTAGCCAATGTCACAGTGGAGTGTCTTGAGCAATTAAGAAGAACCATTGTGTTGAACATAACTTTGAACTACAGTGACAAGTTGTACGTACCGTAACAGTTTATATAAAACTAACCCACTAAGGTCATCAATTTCACTGAATATTAATGCTGTCACAGTTGCTCTTCTTACGCATTTTTTTTTTTATTTCTAGAGTCAAGACTGACTTTAATTAGTAAACCTGAAGAAATGAGCTACATTGAATTTCTCCTTTAATGCATGTTAAATAATTTAAATGACTTCATAATGCATGAGATATTACTTACCATCTTCTGTTTCTTAGAAGTAATCTATCAGAAATGATAGATGAGGTCAATCTGTTTAATTGAATTAATAGCCAAATAAACATTTGGACAGGTTATGTAAATTTTTTCAATAGTATATTTTGAACTACAACATAGTATATTTTAAATCTCTCTCTATATATCTATATGTTTAAACTACAATATAGTATATATTAAATCTATAATCAGAAATGTGTCTGTATCAGAATGCTCCAGAGAAACAGGACAAGATGTGTGTGTATAAATATATATATAATGCATATGCATATATGTAAACACACATATATTTGTACGTATGTGTGTATGAGATACTGAGAGGGAGAGAGAGAGATAGAGAGATAGGGAAAGGAGAGAGGGAGATAGAGAGATTGAAAGAGAAAGGGAATTTAAGAGAAATAAGAAGAGAAGGAGAGAGAGGAAGATTGGGAAATTTATTTTAGGGACTGTGCCATGCTATTGTCCCTGGAGACTGCAGAGTCCAAAATCTAATGGCACAGATTAGCAGGCTGGAGACGCGGAAAAGAATTGCAGTTCAAGTACAAAGGTAGTTGGCTGGCAGCATTCCTTCTTGCTTAAGGAAGGTCAATTTTTTTCTGATAAGACCTTAAACTAATGGATGAGCCCACCCACCTTGTGGGAGGGTAATCTTCTTTATTCAAAGTCCACTGATTTGAATGTTAATCTCATCCAAAAAAGCACTGTCACAGAGACATCCAGAGGAATGTTTGACCAAATATCTGGGCACTGTAGCTAGCAAAACTGACACACGGAATTAACCATCTCGGTGTTTTAAGTTAAATATTATATTGTATGTATGAGGCATTGTCTCATTTATATTTAAATTGCTACCTATTTTGAATATAGAAACCATATTTGGATGGTTAGAGTTACAGGAATGTGTAACATGCAAATAATATATTTATAATTCTCCTATCTAATTACTGAAAATCTTATGACTTGAAAAGCAATGCCCTATCTTTCTGTGGGTGTTGAAGAGGATTTTCTTTCCTTAATAATCGCTTTAAATTCTGCATGAGCTTTCTGCTTAAGGCAGAAGTTGGTTCCAAGTCCAACTACTATGTTCCATTTCATTATTTCAGGCTGTGTGGCTGAAAAGGTTGATACTTGGTAACACTATCGTATATGAAATGACATAAGAAAAGGTTTTGTTTTGAGGCACCAGTATTCCATAATTTCACTGAATCTGGCTGCCTACCAAATGTCAAATATAATTGAATTCCTTCCATTTATCCATTCATTTATTCCACATGCACATTGAACCCAGTATCTGACAGGCATTCTTCTAGGAACTGAGGATATAAGACAAAGACGTTACCCTTATTGAGCTTGCACTTCGGTATAATAGCAGAAAACTAATAATACACATAGAGACTCATAAGTAGATAACTTCAGACAGTGATAAGTACGGTAATAAAAAGACTAAACAGGATACTAGGATAGAGGGAGAGAGTGGGGTTCATTTATGTAGGCTGGTTTAAAGAGGTCTCTCTGAAGAGGTAGTATTGGAAATGAACGGGAAGAGCAGAGACAAAGATGGAAATGAGGTGGGCACATTTGGGGACTAGAAAGCAAGTCTGTGATGCTGAAATGCAGATAACCAAGGAAGACTGTGAGGAGATGACACTGGGAAAACAGGTGAGGACAAATCACGCGGGGCCTTGATGCCGTGGCAAAACTTGTCCTGATTCTCCTCTTATGGCAAGGAAATGACAGGATCTGAACAACTTTGAGTAGACGATGGACTCTTGTGGAAGCAGACAGAACACAGGCAGATCATTTAAGAGACTGTGGTAGTAAACTGGTAGAAATGATGGCTTGGGCTAGGAGAGAGGGTGAAGAGCAGCCGCTGGATTTGGGATATTAGAATCAGTACAATTGTTGCTGTTGCAGGAGTACTTTCCTGTATGTATATCATATAATACATATTATTCTATTTTCAAAGTAATTATTCTATTTTCAAAGCTATTTTCCAGTTCCTATCTTATTAGTCCTAGCAGGAATTCCACAAGATATGGAAAGAATGATAGTTATCTGGTGAACAGATAGCTAACAGAAAAAAACAAAATAAACACTGTGAAATTGAAACTTTGTACTTTATAAATTAATTGTTTGTAACATCGGTGTATAATGATCAGCTCCTGCAGAAACATCTTTCACATAGAAGAATTTCCAAATTCCCAAGGCAACCGGAACCATCCAGGCCAGCTCTAATTGCTAGAAAGGTATTCAATAATCTCGTAAAGCTTCCCAGCAGAACCTAAATTAGAATGCAAGGACTAGGGGTCACATTGCGCTGCCATAGTTCAGCTTATCTTTACAGCTGCGATCTGATTCCACACTTTCTCACTCACACTTATCTATTCCTTCATAAAACCATTAAATAACTTTGCCAATATGAGTTCACCATATTGCTCCCAAAAAAGTAGACAAAAAATATTAGGTTTTACTTATTAACTGTAAAATTAATTCCATATAAACGAGATCAAGATGTCGTTTTTTTTTTTCCTTTCTTCTTTTTTTTTCTTTTTCAGATAAGAAAGGGGAATACTTGGTATGATGAAGACACATAAAGATGGAAGAGGTCATAGTAGTTGTAAGTGCTGGGTCCACAGAGAGGGAGGAGGAGGGGGCAGAAAACAAAGCGAGTGTGAAGTTCTCATTTTTCTTGGGAGTGATTTTTTCAGGACCTGCCTTCCTCCATTACTAGTTCTTTTATTTGGGGGAATGTTGGCCTCCAGGACTTTTCTTAGAAATCCACACAGACTTAGTTTAATAGGAGACCAGTATTACTTTTCCTTCCCTGAGGGGTCTCACTGATGAATGTTTAGCAAGCAAGTCAGTAATTCTGCAAGCCTGAAGCCTTTTACTCCATTCAACACTCAAAGGGTACACTTTGGAGTCAAGTAGATCTAAATTAGAGTATAGGCCCAGTCACTTACTAGGTAGGTGACATGAATAATTTATTTGCCATCTCCAGCCTGAATTTTATCTTCTCTAAAAAAAAAAAAAAAATCTACTGTATGAGTCAGTTAAAAAAAAATCACTTATATATCTGGTCCTCTAATTCAGTCTCTGTTCTCAGTGCTGAAGCAGATCAGTAAGTACCTGACATGACGTTAGCATGAATCTGTCACTCTGCGAATCATATATTTCCCAACTAGACTGCACAGAAGAACCATCTGAGGATTGTATTTAAAATGCAGATTCCTGAATCAAAACCCTAGAGATTCCGGTTCCTAGGTCTGCAAGGAGGTTTCAGAAATCTACATGTTTTAACAAACACCTCAAAAGGTGATGAAATTTATCTCCTGCTCTTTATATTTGGATAACAAAGAAAAAAAAAAACCTGTAATGCATTTGAGTTTCATGTACCTGTGACCTCCTGTCATTTCAGAGGTAAATCTTGCTTCGCTTTGGTTCTTTGCATAAACCTTCTGACCCTCAGCCTCCCATATACTGGCACAACCTATAACACCAGGACAGATGTTTGTCTACTGCACCTGACTTCGTTTCCTGTTACTCCTGTTTGCCACTGTCTTCCTAGTTTGCAGACTGCTTTAGACTCTAATTTCTACTTCCTAATTGTCCTAGGTTATAAGGAAATTGCCAGCTTCTAACTAGATTATCTTGCTTATGTCAGGCAAATATGGAGTATTACATTTCCCAATACCCTTTCCTGATATTTCTACATTAGAATTGGCCAGAAGAGAGACGTTCAGTGAGATATGGAAGGAAGAAGAGAAACAGAAGCTACTACTTTCAGAAGGTTTTCATAAGATAGATGCCTAAGATACGTAGAGGGGTACCCAGCAAGACTCAGTGTATCCTTATTCTCCTCTTCTCTGAATCTAGTCCACCTTTTCAGTAGCTGGCCCTGCTGACTAATGGTGGCCCCAAACCTACCACTGGGCATTTGGCTGTGGACTCACAGTGGTAGTGGCCACCAAAGACAACATCTTCCTACAGACCTTGCTGAAGTGCCCCCTTCAGAGTCCTACTTTGGCAGTAGAGCATGCTTGGCTTCTTGTCTACCTGAGTCAGCGCTTCAGGAAAACCAGCCAGTGATTCTTTCTCTGATCATCCCAGTCCCCCTTAAACACTTTCTCTTCAGTTAGTGCTTCCGTGTTTGTGTAAGGTCTGATTCCTATAATAAACCCCTACCCAACAAGGCTTTAAGTAGTCCTGTTTTGTTGACCAAAATCCCATGGATACATACACTGAATCAACTCCACTCTTAGTCTGGACTCTACACATTTGTTGGTCCAGATAATAGCAAGGATTTCAAGGGAGGACTCAATCATACAATGGAGACAAAATCCATTTTATTTCTTGATGGCCTACCAGGATATTTCAGTGACTTACAGGGAAAATACACAGAATCCTCCAGGCATTTCTATTTTATTCCTAGAAATCAATATAGATATTTTAGTGAAAAAACTTTTACATGACATTTTGACCTAGAATTCAAGATGTGAGAGAGCACAAAAACAGCTGCTCTTTCCTGAAGGCTTCTGGCTTACAGGCACTTGGATTCGGCCTTAGAGATAATGCCAAGGTTGACTGAAATGTGTAGATGAAAGAGAGATTACCATTGCAAATTGTGTTAACCTTCTTACTGCATGGTTGGCCATCACCAAAATAGTTCAGCCTTCCAGACTGCAATCACATATAATACTAGAGAATTAAAATCACCCACTACCAACCCTTCAAGCACAGTTTTAGTAAATGCACACTTGGAATTCTAAGTAAATTTTGACTGAACAAGAAATGTGCAATCAACTGACGGATTTCAAAGTCCCATGATATTTTCTTCCCACAGAATCAGAAGGCAGTACCCATTAAAATTAGGCAGAACCACAGATGTATATGAAAGTGCATAATTCTAGAGATTTCACAAATCTTATTCAGAGGAAAAGTGATCTTTGCATTCCAAAGATTTTATTAATCCTCAGAGGCTACAGTCTAGAGTGAAGCCTAACATGCAATCAGATCTCTGGCTCTTCTTCTACAGGTTACCCTCTTAGTTTCATGATTCAGTGCTTTCACTCTGAACTTATATTTGAGTTATACCAGTAGAATGTGATACAGGTACAAGGGTGGTACTAGAGGTCACAGACTGGTGATGTCTAGGCTTAATTTTTCTTCACACAAGTTTAGTTTGACTGGGATGGCCACTGTTCTTGTCCATCAGTGAGAGCTGTGTGTAGGCTTCCCCCCAGGTCACAGGGGCCTCCCTCCTAGAGAAAATAGTGATTTAATCAAGTCTTATGCCTATGAAACATGTTCTATTTCGGGGCTCACTCATAAATTCAATAAGAGTTTTAGTATTATCATAAAATAACTTTTATTTATAATTGAGAGCTGCTAAGTTTCTTTGTGGTCTTGGAAATGCTCTCCTAACAATATATTTCATTGGTTTACCTATTCCTCAATCTTTATTCTGTCACTGTTGCCCAATCTTACTCTATCACCTGGATTGTATTTTTCATATTCTTGGAGTCTCAATTCTGTGCCTCCTATTTTCTTATTCTATTTTTCTCCTCTATTTTTAGAAATTTGTACTTTGCATCTATATTTTTTGTGATTATGCTAATTTAAAAACAATTAACTTACCCCTCTTCAAACTACTCAAAAGCCATAGTATACAGTTACTTTACTCCCCTTCCTATTGTGTATATAATTTTTTAATCAGTTTTTTGAAAGATATTTTTCCTCTTCACAAAATTTCAAATTACTTTGGCTTTATATAGTCATAATTTGCTTTGATTTAGTCACATTTTTGCCAATATAATTGCTCATAATTTCTTTTTGTATCATTACTTTCACATCTGGATTTTTTTTTCTGTTTACATTATACCTTTAACATTTATTTTACTGAGTATTTGTTTTTGGCTTATCCCAGATTATCTGTTCAAACATATATTTTACCCTCAGGAAAAGTGTATTGGCTAGGTACAGAATTTTAAGCTATTTCAGCTCACTGAAGTTACATTCCATTGTATTTAGGTTTCTAATGGCTGTTGCTGAGAGGCCTGTTTAAATTGCTTGTCTTCTGTAGACTGCCTTTCTTCTAAAATCTCTTAAGATTCCACTTCCTCTTAGATTCTGCAATTTTATTATGATAAGGGATGTGAGCAGAAGTCTGACTCCCTGTTTAAGTTATTTATCCACCATAATTGGTATGTTTTCACCTTCAGCTATGTGGTAATTTTTTTTTTTACTTTTAAAAACCTCAAACTTGAAGAAAAGTTGAAAGAACAGTACAATAAAGATCTGCATAATCCTCACTTAGAATCACTAATTCTCAACATCTTTCCATATATACTTCATTTCTCTCACTTTTTCTCCTTCTCTCCTTCTCTCACTCTCTCTCTTTTTCTGTCTCTCTCCTTTTCTCTCTCTCTGTCTCCTTCTCTCTTTTAACATAAACATACACACAACTGTTTTGTTGAATGATCCAAAGGAGATTGCACAATTATATTTAAGTATGGGCCTCCCAAGAATATATAACCACAACACCATTACCACACCTGAGAAAAATAAACAGTTTAATAAAATTATACAACATGCAACCTACGTTACATTTCATCAATAGTCACGTAAATGTTCTTTATATCTTTTCGGTCTGTCATGCAACTTCATGCATTGCATTTCACTGTTACGTTACTTTAGTCTTATCTAATTTAAAATAGTTGATGTTTTCCCCTATTATTCATTATTACATATTTTGATTTAATATTAAAGTATTAACTTTTTGAGAAGCCCAGGGTAGCTGTCTCGCAAAGCATACCATCATAGATTTGTCTGTTTTTTGTTTTTTTTTTTTTGCGATTAGACTGAGGTCAACATTTTTGGTAAGAATACCACAAAACTGGTGTAGTGAATCTCCCATTGCATGTCATCAGAAGAAACAAAAAGTTAGGCTTTACACCATCAGTAATGCCAAACTTAGCCACTTGGTTAAGATTGTCACTGTATGATCTTTCCATTTTAAAGGGACATGTTCCACCTTTCAAGTAATATGTGCAATGATGCTTTGAAAACATGAATATTCTATTCTTAAACACTTTTTGCCCAATGATTTTAGAATGTATTGATAATTCTTTCATTAATAAATTATAATATTAGGACAGAAACATCAAGAGTTTTCTAGTCTATCATTCCAGCCATATTTATTATATGATATAAAGCCTAAGAACTAATGTCTAAAATTATGTGCTGACTGGATATCTGGTGAAATCACAGGGCCTCCAATAACTTAACCACAAGCTTCCCTCCCCATTGGGCTTCTAGAGCTAAGATCCTCTCCAAATAACCTTTCTTATCAAATGGAACAGGTGCGGCTACTACTTAATCATTAACTGGTGAGTTTCAGTTGCCTGCAAACTTGAAGAATTATTTAAACAGACTGAACTGAGGTATCCAGGTCTTCTTAATGGGACTGAGTAGGTGGTTGGTGTGACCTACGGAGAGTAAGGAAAAGCAGAGTGGTGCCACAGCCCACCTAGGAGTCAGACAGGGCAAGGGGAGCTACCACCTTCAGCCGAGGGAGGCGGTGAGTGATGGTGCTACTCTGCCTGGGAAACCACACTTTTTCCACAGATCTGTGCAACCCATAGATCAGGAGATCCCCCTTGTCAGCCCACGCCACCAGAGCCTTGGGTCTGAACCGCAGAGTTGTGCAGATTCTCAGCGGCTACTCGGCTGGAGACTGCCTAAGACTACCGAGTTCCCAGAGGGAGGGGTGGCCATCATCACTGTGGCTGCATGCTGCCTAAGATGGCTGAGCTTTCAAGGGGAAGGGCGGCAGCCATCACTGTGGCTGCCTGCTGCATAAGATGACTGAGTTCCGGGAGGAGGGGTGGCCGCCATCACTGCAGCTCCAGTTTGCCATCTTTCCCCTGCAATGCCAGGGAAAATGGATGGTTTGGACCCTGGAGGAATTCCCCATAGTGCAGCACCGTGGCTGTGGCAGAGTGTGGCCAGATTGCCTCTTTAGGCTGGATCCTTACCCACACCATTTCCCTAGGCAAGCCCTCCCTACAAGAATTTCAGAAACTCCAGCCAGGGTTTTAGCAACAGAACTCTAATCTCTCTGGGACTGAGCCCCTAGAAGGAGGGGTGGCCGCAGTCTTCGCAAATCAGTAGACTTAGTCTTTGCCCCTGCTGGCTTTGAGGAATCTGGGCAGTCTAGACAAGTGGGATTCCTCCCAGCACAGTGCACCTCCTCCACCAAGGAGCAGCCAACATGCCTCAGTTAGTGAGTCCCACATCCGGTGCCTCCTGACTGGAGGAGAACCCTCAATTAGGGTTGCCAGACACATTATACAGTAGCATTTCTGTTGGCATCAGGTCAGTGCCCCTCTGGTACAGAGATCCCAGAGGAAAGAAAAGGCAGCCATCTTTACTGTTCTATAGCCTCCACTGGTGACACTTCCAGGTGTGGAAAGGAACCAGGTAAATAGAGTCTGGAGTGGACCCCAAGCAAACTGCAGCACGCCTATGAAAGAAGAGCCTGACTCTTAAAAGAAAAATAAACAAACAGAAAGCAACAATAACAATAACGTCAACAAAAAAGTCCCCACAAAAAAACCCATCCAAAGGTCAGCAGCTTCTGTGATCAAAGCTGGATAAACTCCTGAAGATGAGAAAGAATCAATGAAAAAATGTTGAAAACTCAAAAAGCCAGAGTGCCTCTTCTCCTCCAAATGATTGCAGCACCTCTCCAGCAAGAGCACAGAACTAGGCAGAGGCTGAGATGGATAAACTGACGGAAGTAGTCTTCAGAAGGAGCTGTTAAACAGAATAACCAGTTTAGAGAGGAACATAAATGACCGGATGGAGCTGAAAAACACAACACAATAACTTCACAATGCAAATACAAGTATCAATAACTGAAGAGATCAAGCAGAGGAAAGAATTTCAGAGCTTGAAGACTATCTTGCTGAAATAAAACAGGAAGAGAAGATTAGGAAAAAAAAAGAATGAAAAGGAATGAACAAAACCTCCAAGAACTATGAGATTATGTAAAAAGACTGAACCTATGACTGATAGGGGTAGCTGAAAGAGACAGGCAGAATGAAACCAAGTTGTAAAACATACGTCAGGATATCATCCAGGAGAACTTTTTCAACCTACCAAGACAGGTGAACATTCAAATTCAGGAAATCCAGAGAACCCCAGTAAGATACTCCATGAGAAGATCAACCCCAAGACACATAATCATCAGATTCTCCAAGGTTGAAATGAAGGAAAAAATGTTAAAGGCAGCCAGAGAAAAAGGTCAGGTCACCTATAAAGGGAAGCCTGTCAGACTAACAGTGGACCTCTCAGCAGAAACCCTATATTCCAGAAGAGATTGAGGGCCAATATTCAACATTCTTTTCTTTTTTTTTATACTTTAAGTTCTAGGGTACATGTGTACAACGTGCAGGTTTGTTACATATGTATACATGTGCCATGTTGGTGTGCTGCACCCATTAACTCGTCATTTACATTAGGTATATCTCCTAATGCTATCCTTCCCCCTTACCCCCACCCCACAACAGACCCTGGTGTGTGATGTTCCCCACCCTGTGTCCAAGTGTTCTCATTGTTCAATTCCCACCTATGAGTGAGAACATGTGGTGTTTGGTTTTCTGTCCTTGCGATAGTTTGCTGAGAATGATGGTTTCCAGCTTCATCCATGTCCCTACAAAGGACATGAACTCATCCTTTTTTATAGCTGCATAGTATTCCATGGTGTATATGTGCCACATTGTCTTAATCCAGTCTATCATTGGTGGACATTTGGGTTGGTTCCAAGTCTTTGCTATTGTGAATAGTGCCATAATAAACATACGTGTGCATGTGTCTTTATAGCAGCATGATTTATAATCCTTTGGATATATACCCAGTAATGGGATGGCTGGGTCAAATGGTATTTCTAGTTCTAGATCCTTGAGGAATCACCACACTGTCTTCCACAATGGTTGAATTAGTTTACAGTCCCACCAACATTGTAAAAGTGTTCCTATTTCTCCACATCCTCTCCAGCACCTGTTGTTTCCTGACTTTTTAATGACTGCCATTCTAACTGGTGTGAGATGGTATCTCATTGTGGTTTTGATTTGCATTTCTCTGATGGCCAGTGATGATGAGCATTTTTTCATGTGTCTTTTGGCTGCATAAATGTCTTCTTTTGAGAAGTGTCTGTTCATATCCTTTGCCCACTTTTTGATGGGGTTGTTTGATTTTTTCTTGTAAATTTATTTAAGTTTTTTATAGATTCTGGACATTAGCCCTTTGTCAGATGGGTAGATTGTAAAAATTTTCTCCCATTCTTAAAGAAAAGAATTTCCAACCCAGAATTTCACATCTGGCCAAACTAAGTTTCAAAAGCAAAGGAGAAATAACATCTTTTTCAGAAAAGTAAATGCTGAGGGAATTCGTCACCATCATGCCTGCCTTGTAAGAGCTATTGTAGGAAGGGCTAAATATGGAAGGGAAAAATCGTTAACAGCCATTACAAAAACACACTGAAGAACAAAGACCAAGGACACACAAATCAAACATAATAATATTAACCTTAAATGTAAACATGCTAAATGCCCTGATCAAAAGACAGAGAATGGCAAGCTGGATAGAGTCAAGACCCATCAGTGTGCTGCATTCAAGAAACCCATCTCACGTACAAAGACACAAAAGAAAGGGATGGGGGAAAATTTAACAAGCAAATGGAAAGCAGAATATAGCAAGGGTTGCAATCCTAGTTTTCTGACAAAACAGACTTTAAACCAACACAGATCAAAAAAGACAAAGAAGGGCATTGCATAATGCTAAAGGGTTCAATTCAACAAGAAGAGCTAGCTATCAGAAATATATATGTACCCAATACAGAAGAACCCAGATTCATAAAACATGTTCTTAGAGACCTACAAAGAGACTTAGATTCCCACATAGTAACAGTGTGAGACTTCAACACCCCACTGTCAATATAAGACAGATCATCACAATTGAAAATTAACAGGGATATACGGGACTTGAACTCAGTTCTGCAGCAAGTGTACCTGATAGATACCTACAGAACTCTCCACCCCAAAACAACAGAATATAAATTCTTCTGAGTGCTACATGGCACTTACTCTAAAATTGATCCCATAATTGGAAGTAAAATAATCCTCAGCAAATGCAAAAGAACTGAAATCATAACAACCAGTCTCTCAGACCACAGTGCCATCAAATTAGAACTTAGGATCAAGAAACTCACTCAAAAGCACACAACTACATGAAAATTGAACAACCTGCTCCTGAATGACTCCTGGGTAAATAATGAAATTAAGGCATACATCAAGAAGTTCTTTGAAACCAATGAGAACAAAGAGACAATGTATCAAAATCACTGGGATGCAGCTAAAGCAGTGTTAAGAGGAAAATTTGTAGCACTAAAATGTCCACATCAAAAAGCTAGAAAGAGCTCAAATCAATATCCTAAAATCACAACTAAAAGAATTAGAGAACCAACAGTAAACAAACCCCAAAACTGGCAGAAGACAAGAAATAACCAAGATCAGAGCAGAACTGAAGGAGAAAGGGACCCAAAAAACCCTTCAAAAAATCAATGAATCCAGTTTGTTTTTGAAAAAATTAATAAAATAGACCACTAGCTGGACTAATAAAGAAGAAAAAAGAATCATATAGACACAATAAAAAATGATAAAGGGGATATCACCACAGACCCTAAAGAAATACAAACAATCATCAGAGAATGCTATAAATACCCCTATGCAAATAAACTATAAAATCTATAAGAAATGGACAAATTACTGGACACATACACCCTCCCAAGACTGAACGAGGAAGAAGTTGAATCCTTGAATAGTCCAATAACAAGTTCTGAAATTGAGACACTAATTAATAGCCTACAAACCACAAAAAAAAAAAAAAAAAAAAAAAAGCCCAGGATCAGATGTATTTACAGCTGAATTCTACCAGAAGTACAAAGAGGAGCTGGTGCCACTTCTTCTGAAACTATTGCAAACAATTGAAAAAGAGGGACTTCTCTTTAATTCATCTTATGCAGCCAGCATCATCCTGATACCAAAACCTGGCAGAGATACCACAAAGAATATTTCAGGCCAATATCAATGCCTGACAAACATCAATGCAAAAATCCTCAACAAAATACTGGCAAACTGGATCCAGCAACATATCAAAAAGCTTATCCACCATGATCAAGTCACTTCATCCCTGGGATACAAGGCTAGTTCAACATATGCAAATCAATAAATGTAATTCATCACATAAACAGAACTAAATATAAAAACCACATGATTCTCAATAGATGCAGAAAAGGCCTTTGATAAAATTCAACATCGCTTCATGTTAAAAATTCTCAATAAACTAGGTATTGAAGGAACATACCTCAAAAAAATAAGAGCCATTTATTACAAACCCACAGCCAATATCATATTGAAAGGGCAAAAGCTGGAAACACTCCTCTTGCAAATCAGCACAAGACAAGGATGTCCTGTTTCACAACTACTATTTAACATAGTATTTGAAGTTCTGGCCAGGGCAATCAGGCAAGAGAAAAAATAAAGGGTATTCAGGTAGGAAGAGAGGAAGTCAAACTGTCTCTATTTGCAGATGACATGATCCTATATCTAGAAAACCCCAACTGTCTCAGTCTAAAAACTTCTTAAGCTCATAAGCAACTTCACCAAAGTCTCAGGATACAAAATCAATGAGCAAAAATCATAAACTTTCCTATACACTAATAATAGACAAGCAGAGAGCAAAATCATAAATGAACTCCCATTCACAATTGCTACAAAAGGAGTAAAATACCTAGGAATACAGCTAACAAGGGAGGTGAAGGACCTCTTCAAGGAAAACTACAAACCATGGCTCAAGGAAATAAGATAGGACACAGACAAATGGAAAAACATTCCATGTTCAATGATAGGTATAATCAATATTATGAAAATGGCCATACAGCCCAAAATAATTTATACATTCGATGTTATTCCCTCCCATTAAACTACCATTGGCATTCTTCACAGAATTGGAAAAAAACTACTTTAAACTTCACATGGAACCAAAAAAGAGCCCGCATAGCCAAGACAATTCTGGGCAAGAACAAAGCTGGAGGCATCATGCTACCTGACTTCAAATCATACTACAAGGCTACAGTAACCAAAACAGCATGGTACTGGTACCAAAACGGATATATAGACCAATGGAACAGAGCAGAGGCCTCAGAAATAACACCACACATCTACAACCATTTGATCTTCAACAAACCTGACAAAAACAAGCAATGAGGAAAGGATTCCCTATTTAATAAATGGTGCTGGATATGAACAGACACGTCTCAAAAGAAGACATTTATGCAGCCAAAAAACACATGAAAAAATGCTTATCATCACTGGCCATCAGAGAAATACAAATCAACCACAATGAGATACCATCTCACACCAGTTAGAATGGCAATCATTAAAAAGTCAGGAAAGAACAGGTGCTGGGGAGGATGTGGAGAAATAGGAACACTTTTACACTGTTGGTGGGACTGTAAACTAGTTCAACCATTGTGGAAGTCAGTGTGGCAATTCCTCAGGGATCTAGAACTAGAAATACCATTTGACCCAGCCATCCCATTACTGGGTATATATCCAAAGGATTATAAATCATGCTGCTATAAAGACACATGCACACGTATGTTTATTGCAGCACTATTCGCAATAGCAAAGACTTGGAACCAACCCAAATGTCCACCAATGATAGACTGGATTAAGAAAATGTGGCACATATACACCATGGAATACTATGCAGCCATAAAAAAGGATGAGTTCGTGTCCTCTGTAGGGACATGGATGAAGCGGGAAACTATCATTCTCAGCAAACTATCGCAAGTACAGAAAACCAAACACCGCATGTTCTCACTCATAGGTGGGAATTGAACAATGAGAACACTGGGTCACAGGGTGGGGAACATCACACACTGGGGCCTGTCGTGGGGTAGGGGGAAGGGGGAAGGATAGCATTAGGAGATATACCTAATGTAAATGACGAGTTAATGGGTGCAGCACACCAACATGGCACATGTATACATATGTAACAAACCTGCACGTTGTGCACATGTACCCTAAAACTTAAAGTATAATAATAATAATAAAAAAAAACTTGACCTAGAAAAAAAACAAAAACTAAATAAATAAATAAATGTAAAATAAATGGTGCTGGGAGAACTGGCTAGCCACATGTAGAAAATTGAAACTGAACCCCTCCTTACACCTTATACAAAAATTAACTCAAGACAGATTAAAGATTTAAAGGTATAGCCCAAAACTGTGAAAACCTTAGAACAATATGCAGGCAATGCCATTCAGTACATAGGCATAGGCAAAAATTTCATGATGAAAGCAGCCAAAACAATTACAACAAAAGAAAAAATTAACAAATGGGATCTAATTAAACTAAAGAGCTTCTGCACAGCAAAAGAGACTATCATCAGTTGAACAGACAACCTACAGAATGGGAGAAAATTTTTCCAATTTATCCATCTGACAAGGGTCTAATATCCAAAATTTACAAGGAACTTAAATTAATTTACAAGAAACAAAACAAACAACACCATTAAAAAGTGGGCAAAGGACATGAACAGACACTTCTCAAAAGAAGACATTTATATGGCCAAGAAGCATGAAAAAAAGCTCAACATCACTGATCAATTGAGAAACGTAAATCAGAACCACAATGAGAAGCATCTCACGCCAGTCAGAATGGTGATTATTAAAAATTTAAGAAAGAACAGAGCTGGTGAAGCTGTGGAGAGATAGGAATGCTTTTACACTGTTGGTGAAAATGTAAATCAGTTCAACCACTGTGGAAGACAGCATGGCAATTCTTCAAAGACCTAGAACCAGAAATGGCATTTCTAGAACCAGAAATGGCATTTCTAGAACCAGAAATGCCATTTGACTAGCAATCCCATTACTGGGATACATGCATGTGCATGTTTATTGCAGCACTATTCACAATAGCAAAGATATGAAATCAACCCAAATGCCCATCAATAATAGACTGGATAAAGAAAATACATCATGGATTGTTATACAGCCATAAAAAGGAAGGAGATCATGTCTTTGCAGAGACATGGATGGAGCCGGGAGCCATTATCCTCAGCAAACTAACACAGGAACAGAAAACAAAACACTGCCTCTTCTCATTTCTAAGTGGGAGCTGAACAATGAGAACATATTGACACAGGGAGGGGAACAACACTCACTAGGGCCCTTTGAGGGGGTGAGGGGAGGGAGAGCATTAAGACAAACAGCTAATTCTTACAGGACTTAATACCTATGTGATAGGTTGATAGGTGCAGCAAACCACCATAGCACACGTTTACCTATGTAACAAACCTGCACATCCTGCACATGTATCCCAGAACTTAAAATTAATTTACATTACATTTTAAAATAAAAAAATAACTAAACCAACCACATCCTCCCATGAGTACTGGGGCCTTTCCCTCTGTTGACACTATAAATCTTGCTGTCCACAGTCCCTGGTTATTCACTTTGTTCCCAAGTGCAACCTGTGTGGGCCTCTGTGGCATGGGGTGCTCTCCTCCCCTAGCTGAGAGTATATATATGTATGCCATATGTGAGTATGAATGTGTATGAACTGCAGGTGATCTCATCTGCCCAGTGTCAGGTGTTATATTCTGTCATCCATATAACACTAGAGTAGGAATCCCTCTATCAGCAATAGGGTGAAGAAGGGCTAATAAAATCACATAATTCTTTTTTAAAAGAACTGCCATTTTTGTCTTTCTTTTTATCTCTTGTATTACTATGTACTCTTGGATTTTTTTTGTAATTCAACATGTTATTCTATATTTTTCTTACTGAAGCTACATACCCCAAATGTGGTCAATAAATTCCCTATACAGAGCATCTGTGCCTTTTCAACCTTATCCTATTAACCATTGAGTATGCCATTGCTTTCTGGCATAACCCAATTTGTTCTTTCTTGTTGCAGACCTGAAATCAGCCATTTAAGTTTCCCAGTTTTCAATGTGTGTTTAGTGAGTGGTATTTAGAAATCAATATCTGTTCATTATATGCACAAACAGGCATAATGACATCCTTCAATCAAGAAGAAATGGTAATATTGAAACATAGAATAGTCAGATAAATTTAAGATGGATGAAAATGTGCTTGAAGTTTGTATTAAATATGTGTATGTGTCTATGTCTAACAGGGTTATACTGATACTTCTAAAGAAAATCCAACACTAAAGCATTCTTCCACACATACCCATTCCATATTTGTGCCTCCTTTCTTCCAACCATGCTAATGCATTTACTCACTAATTCTTTCATACAATATATACAGAAAACAATGTGAGAATGACCACACCAATACAACTATAATAAAAAACAAGAGCTAATGATATTTTTGCAGTTGTATTGGACTTTAGAATTTATCTTTCTAAGCATGTATAAATCATGGGGAAATGGTAATATTGAAATATAGAAAAGTCAGATGAATTTAAGATGGAGTTTTTTAGGAATAATGTTACCTGAATTTATAATCTTAATTTGTTGATGAATTAGTACGTTAATTGACAAATTAATTAATCAAGTAAAAGTTACTTAAATTATTATTTTCTCAGTATGGTAGTAAATAATTTGATATTTGGTTAAGATCATGTATGTCTGATTGATTCAACTGATTTTTTCATCCTTTTAATTTTGTTTGTTTAAATATATAGGATATTTTTATAATTAAAACGTCAACTACATAAAGAGTTTACTATATAAAGCAAGTTTCTTGCTTTCAAGGAACTTACATTCCGATTCTTATTCCCTCTATCCCATTTTCACCTACTCTACAGAGGTAACTATTTTTTAGTTTCTGTTTATACTTCTGTTTTTTGTTTTTTTTTTTCTTTTTGGCCAGGAAAGTATACCCAAGCAGACAGACAGATTCAGACAAATAGACAAACAGATATAGAGATATCTCAAGAGAGAGAAAAAATATCATACATTCTTATTTTTCCTTATTTGTGAAACAAAAGTTAAAATACTGTAATTATACTTTACAACATATATCTTCTTAATCACTTTATATCAGTTCAGAGAAAACTTTCTTCATTCTTTTTTATGGCCAAATACTATTCTACTCAGTGGTTATACATAAATTATTCAATGAGCACCTTAGGTAGTTTTCAATATTATACAACTATGCTGGAATTTAAAACCCTAGGCATTTCTTTTACGTGAGGAGAGATTCCTTCATGTTACATGCCTAAACATGGAGTTGTAGAAACAAAAATGTCAAAGCTAGTTTTGGAAAGATATTTCCAGATATAATTTTTTGTAGTTGATTTTCCAAACTACATGGCTATTCTTAATGTCTTAATCCTTTTATCAACAACTGCCCACAACTATTTAACTTTTCTTGAATACCTTAACGTTTATCTTTGTCCCTCAGAATGGAGTAGCTCCACTGAAACTAACACTGTCATAATGAAGTCTAAAACTGAATAGGTCAATAATCTCCACTGTTGCAGATACTTCATATCAATTTGATCTGGCTATAGTTACATGGGACTGTTTTTGTCAGAAGTATCTCCTTAGCACACTATAACTCTTATTTTGCAATTACAGTAATTTTAAATACTGAAGTCTTTTCCACACTTACATTTTCCCTTTCAAAGATTTGTGAAGATAATATTGTGAATCCAAAAAAGATCTTTCTCACATTTCTTCAAAAAAAATTAGCTCACAAATTAGGTTTACCACATCACCTATCCATATGGTATGGTCATCATTCTGCTATTCAACGTATTATCAATCCCTTCCAGCTTTAGGTCAGACACATTTTTTTTTTATTAAATAGCATTTATATATTTATCCAAAGAGGTAATTCATATCGTTATTTATATATTTATAAAATTCTCCCTGGGGAAGATAGAGAACACTAACCTTTAATAAACCCAGGGGAACTCCACTCTAAATGTTAGACATCTCGTTCAAGTATGGATTTACCAGTTATAACCCCATCTAACTGTTCCACTTTTTTCCTTATGATCATAATGATATCATGATACCTATATTCATTAAGTGTTTTGTATTTTGCTGATTTTTCCATCTGGTAACTGTGACATACTAAGAAAGATAAATCTTTCTTCAGGGCACTATTAGTATTTTCATTTAAAAAGCTGTCTTTCTAACAGATGTTTCTTCATTCCTTAGACCAATGTTATAGGTTGGTAACTATATTTATTGCATGCCAACCATCTACTCGGTGCTTCACAATAACTGAAATAAGTATTATTAACTCCATTGATTATACAGCTGAGGAATCTGAGTTACAGAGTGGGGCAGTTATTCACGCAAAGTATGCAGGAACTGAATAGCAAAGTGGGTAATTGAGCTTGAGTTTCTAACAGTCTAGAATTGTGATGGGCTGCACGTAGCAGCAGACAGATGATCTCATAGGTTGCTCATTCTCTGCACTTCTAATTTATCTCATGCTGCCAAACTAAACATTTTAAACAGTGCTTGTTTTTGCCTTTTGGGGGGCTTGACAAAAATAATTAGCCAAAGAATTATGATAACATTTCGATACTGTTATTCAGCCATGAATTTGTCAAGGAAGGAAAATATGAGAGAATAGAAAAAGAAGATAAAAGGATACTCCTAGCCTTTGAGAACCAAAACACTTCACTTTGAAAAATTTATAGAAGTCAATTTAACAAAAAGATAAGGAATAATCCTTTTAAAAGTATTGCAGCCCAAGGAAGAATAATCTATTATATCATCTTTCCTTGAACTTTCTTCTCCAAGATTTTAAAGTGCTTTAGAAAGACAAATATGAAAGACAGGAATCCAATAAAGGACAAACTAAACTTCAAAGACGCTTTGAATTGACATTACCATAACTAATTTACAGGCCTAACATCTACACAAGAAAAATTTCAAGATTAAAAGGTCACGTAGCACTAGAAAAAGAAAGATGTTGAGTAAATGATCTCGTTTTGTTTCTAGGGTCTTTTAAGAATCTTTTCATCTGACAATTCTTGACCAACAATGTTCTATGTAATTTTTTTTTCAGAAAATGTTTCGTGGAGCCCTAAATACTTCATCAAACTAAGAGATCTGGTGCTCAGGTACCTTGGAAATCTTGCTAGAGATATGCAATGCATATTTCATACGGTAAAGGCTCTGAGAAATTATACAAAGAGGAGAGTCTCCTCCTCAGAACTACAGATCTTGTACCAGTGATCTGTTCTAACAGTTCTTTCCCTCAGGCCCTCAGCTCCACTGTAGACTGGATGACTCCCACCTTCCTCAGAGTAAGAGGCAGTCTTTCCATAAATTGTAAGCTCTGTTAAAGCAGGGGTCTTGTTGCTCCTCACTGCATTATCCTTAAATTCTAACACAGCCACTGGCATATAATAAGACTTTCACAACTATACCGAATAAATATATATGTAATAACTTGTTAAATAAATATGAATAAATTGATAAATTGAAATATAACACCAATCACAAATTCAGAAGATTATCTGTATAAAATCATTTCAATCATTCCCTCCAAATACAATGAAATACTCCTGTATCGCTCACTAAACATCCTGACATACGCCAATCACTTGTAAATAAAACATGATTGAGGACGTAAATTTTTGATTCGCTAAAGCAGAGGCTGGTGAACTTTTTCTGTAAAGGGTCAGAAAATAAATATTTTAGGATTTGTGAGCCATGTTGTCTCTGTGGTTCAACTCTGCCATCATACCACAAAAATACCCATAGACAATAAGAATAAATGAATGGAGCCGGGCACGGTGGCTCACGCCTGTAATCCCAGCACTTTGGGAGGCCGAGGCGGGCGGATCACGAGGTCAGGAGATCGAGACCATCCTGGCTAACACGGTGAAAGCCCGTCTCTACTAAAAATACAAAACCAAGTTAGTCAGGCGTGGGGGCGGGCGCCTGTAGTCCCAGCTACATGGGAGGCTGAGGCAGGAGAATGGCATGAACCCGGGAGGCAGAGCTTGCAGTGAGCAGAGATAGAGCCACTGCACTCCAGCCTGGGCGACAGAGCGAGACTCCATCTCAAAAAACAAAAAACAAAAAAAAAAAAAAAAAGAATAAACGAATGGGGGTGGCTGTGTTCTAATAACATTTTATTTACAAAAACAATCAGAAGTGCCTATTATCATTAGGGATCCACTGAAATGCCTATATTAAAAAAGATGTAGAAGTATTAGAAAGTATGAAGAGAAATTGGGATCCTCAGATATTGCTGATGGGAATGTGAAATGGTACAGCAAATTTTGAAAATAGTTTGGCAATTTTTCAAAAGGTTAAACAGAGAGTTACCATATGACTCAGCAACTGTACTCCTAGGTGGAATTCTACCCAAGAGAAAAGAAAACATACGTTAAAAAAAAAAAAAAAAAAAAAAGACAATAAAATGAAACACTGAAAAACCTTTTGCGTGGATGGCAGCATTAAGAGTCAAAAATGGAAACAACCCAAAGATCCCACTGAGGAATGACTAAATAAAATGTAGTATATCCAAGAAATGGAACACTATTAGACAGTGAAAGAAATGAAGCACTGATAGATGCTACAACACCTATGAATCTCAAAAACATACTAAATGAAGGAAGCCAGATATAAAAGACAATATATTGTATAATACCATTTTTTGTGAAATGTTCCAAAGAGGCAAATATATAGAGACAGAGAGTTGATGAGTTCTTGTCTATGGCTGGGGGCTGCATGAGGGGTGGACAGCAGAGGGAATGGGGAGAGATTGCTAATGTGATCAAGGTTTTTTGGGGAGAAGATGGTTAAAATGTTCTATAACAAGATTAGGACGATGATGCACAACTCTATAAATGGACTAAAACTATTAAATTTTATACTTCAAATGAGTAACTTTATAGCAGGTAAATTATATCTCAATAAAGCTATTAAAAACACAGAATTTGTGGCTGGGCGTGGTGGCTCATGCCTGTAATCCCAGCACTTTAGGAGGCTGAGACAGGCGGACCACCTGAGGTCAGGAGTTTGAGACCAGCCTGGCCAACATGCAGAAACCTTGTCTTTACCAAAAATACAAAAATTAGCCAGGCGTGGTGGCAGGCACCTGTAATCCCAGCTACTTGGGAATCTGAGGGGAGAATTGCTTGAACCTGGGAGGCGGAGGTTGCAGTGAGCCGAGATCGCAACATTGCCCTCCAGCCTGGGCACGAAGAGCGAAACTCCCTCTCAAACAAACAAACAAACAAACCAAAAATACATAGAATTTTTTTTAATAACAGGTAGAATGTTTTCTACACCTCTGTGAAAAAAAATTGTGCGGATTGAAAATACACCTCGGAGTTATGTTTTCCATTCTGAAATTTACTTTACAGAGTATTAAAAAATATCCCTTAAGTGTTTACAGAAAGTGAAAGGCCTGCATAGAAGCAAAGTCAGTTTAAAAAACAATCCATAAAATTAAGGGGGCTCATGTTCTCATTTTTTATTTAGATTTGTCTTGTGTCAACTGTGTATCACAAAGTATTGCCTATTTATTATCAAACATAAGTAAAACATCATACATTTAAAGATTTGTAGCTAGAAATAATTGCTGTAATTAAAAATGTAATATTTTATAATAGAAGGATAATTACAGTATTTATCCTTCTTTCCACTTCTGAAAGCTAGCACTTAAGTTAAAAAGATACCCAAAATAAAAAGCATTGGCAATAGTATCCAAAAATGATTTAAAAGTTAATTGTTATGCTCTAATTCAAGAAGAGATGCTCAAGAACTACAATTCTCTGCATGTTTTTCTGCATTTGGAGTTTGGACCTGACAACCTCATGTAAGTATGGAAAGAATTTCATGGCACACATCAGTGTTGTCATGATCTTTCTATCCCCAGGTGATAACCATGTTATTTTGAGATATGAACAGCAAATTATGTTTTCAGAATGGGTTTGAAGTCTCTGGAGGTTTTTAAGATTTGAGTTATTTGGAAATATTTTCTCCTAAAAGTCATGTCTCCCATATACTACGTTGACCACGTATTTCAATTTATGCCTGTCATCCTGGGGTAACTATGGGTACTGCTTTCTTCGCTCTCAAAAAGTTATCTAACTTCAATAATAAATTATATGGTCATTCTGCCTTAGTACTATATTCTTCAAGGAAGTTACCTAAATAACTATGCAGGGATCTGATTAGAATAGGCAAATGTCCATGATCATAGAGAAAGTACCTGGTAAAAGACGATATTACTAATCTTGTACCCCATATGGGGAAATGAACATACTAAAAAGTCATGCTTTTAAGTTAATGGACAGAAGAGTGTGACTCTCTAGACAGTCCAAAGCATCAACACAACCAGAACTGTTAGTAGAGATTTGTAAGAATTATAGTTTCTCCATAAAATATGACAAATTTTCCATTGATGGTGCTTTGCAGGCTTGATTTCTAGCCATAACATTTGACCTTTGTTTTGCCCTGTTCTCCCAGATGACCATGTAAGATTTTCTAATCTGAAAAGAATGATGAACTAATGTTATACCAATCTTACTCCACACTTGCAGTGAGGAAACTAGAAGATGACAGCTACAAGTTTCTGAATCTGGACAATCTTATCTCTTGAAACTAACACATTCACTGTACTCTCATAACAGATCATTCTTTTGAGCATAAATAATGTGTGGGCGTGTGTGTAAAAAGTGTAGAAAGATCACGTGGAAAGTCAGACTAGTGTTCAGCACACAGTGAGTGATTAGATGACAGATTTGAGCCTGGCCCAGCGCTCTGTTCGGGGAGAAAGACTTGGCTTTTAAGGTGTACCACTCATTCTGCTGAAAAACAGCTGGTGTATATTGCAACGAACAGCAGTGAGCAATGCCAATCAGTATAGCAGCCATGGCAAAACATTCCAACATACTACGTATGAAATGAGATACTACTTTATTTTGAGGGCAAAACAAAATTCACAGAATAAATCTTTTGTCTCAGTTTGTATTTATTAAGAATATGATTACCACAATTAGGTTCATTTCAATATCCTTCCCAAATTTTTTAAATCACTCGTTCATCTACTCAAATAAGCAACTCTCAGGTGCCAGCTGTCTCCACTGTTCAGAAATAAAGTCTCATCCTCCATGAGTTTACAAAAGAAGACAGAAAAACAAACGACTAAACTCAGTAAATGATAATAGGTGTTGTGATAGAAGTCCACACAGAGAAAAGCAGAGACACTGAGAAGGGCAGTTCTATGCCTGGGTCAGAAAAAACCTGACAGTGTATGTGACACTTGACTGAGCCTTTGGAGATGGACAGGTGACTGTAGAATTCCAGAGGGTTACACAGAGCTATGCTGGGAACCACTTGGCCTAGTCAGGAAACCGTAAGTGTATACTTGACAATGGGACTCTCAAGAAAAAGATGCGAGAATTGTAAGGAGATTTAAAATAAAGGCAATGTCATGCGAAGGATAGTAGACTTTTTATTATAGAAAGTGGGAAGACATGAGGCATTTTAAGCGGGGAACTAATATATCCAGACTTGAATTTTAGAACTACAAACGGGGCCAGGCACGATGGCTCACGTCTGTAATCCCAGCACTTTGGGATGCCGACGCGGGCGGATCATGAGGTCAGGAGATCAAGACTATCCTGGCTAACATGGTGAAATCCCATCTCTACCAAAAATACAAAATTAGCCAGACGTGGTGGCACGCACCTGTAGTCCCAGCTACTGGGGAGGCTGAGGCAGTGAGCCGAGATCACGCTACTGCACTCCAGCCTGGGGGACAGAGCTAGACTGTCTTAAAAAAAAAAAAACTACAAATGATATGAAAAATTGAGAGACAAATGTCTCTCAATTTGGCAGTGTTGCACCACAGGTATTTAATCTAGACTTGGCAAGTCTGCTCCACATATGTTTTATCTGAGCTGAAGTTCAAAGAATGAAAACGTGTTAACCAGAAAAGGAAGTCACTACAGGGAGGAGGAAGGGAATTAGGGTAACAGAACCATAAACTACCACAATGTAGCATGTAGTAGTAGAAAATTATAAGAAATCAGACTCCAGCAAAGGGTGTATCCTAGATCAAGAGGAAAATAATTGTCAAAGGATTTCTACTTCCTCCCGCTATCGATGGCACGGAATTTAGGGCCAGCATGTCACACAACTCCATGGAGTAATGCTTACATCCTAGTCTAAGTGAATGCTATTCCTTAGTGTTTTGCAGTGCACAGTTGTACATGGAAATCTAGAAAGGTATAAGCACTGAAATCATATAAACGGATTTGTATGTGTAGATAAACCAGAAACTCTGACTGCTTAGTGAATACTGGATTTAGAAAAAGCCCAAAGCCTACAGTACCTAGTAAGACAAGTGATACCAAAGACAGAAATATTTTCGGAAGCAAATCTTACAGTTAAATGAAACCATGGGAAGTGCCAAATTGTTCACTCCTCAGAACCTTTAAACTTGCTTTCCTTCTTATTTGTCTCTTTCACCAACTCTTCATTAATTCCACCATTTCATCATTCATTACTGTGACCAAAATCACCTTCTCACAGAAGGCTTTCACGACTCCTAAGAGCCTTAATGACTTTTGCAACCAAGATAGTTCACTCAACTGACACATTGCACTCAATGTATATTTTAGATAAAATGCTATGCCTTTTCACTCTTTATTTACTCATCTGTTTTATGTTTTTTCAAAACACTCATCCCTAGTAGAAAGCATATTATTTGTTTCTTTACAGATTTGTTTTCTCAACCCTAACTCATCAGGAGACCATCCTTATCCTTGGTTTTGCTTTCCGCAGTTTCAGTTACCTAAGGTCAACAGCAGCTTAATATTAAATGGAAAAGTCCAGAAATAATTCAAGTTTTAAATGTTATGTCACAATGCCCAAAGCATTCACCTCACTTCATCTTATCACATAGGTGTCTTGTAATTTCATGTCATCTGAAGAAGGGTGAGTAAAGTACAATAAAATTAGAGAGAGAGACCACAATGACATGGCTTTTATTACAGTATATTGTTACAATAGTTCTATTTTATTATTAGTTATTGTGATTAATTTCCTACTGTGTGTAATTTATATCTTAAATTTTATCATAGGTATGGACATAAAGGAAAAAACAGCACAGTCATGCATTACTTAATGATGGGGGTACATTCTGAGAAGTTAGTTTTCAGGTGATTTTGTTTTGCAAACATCATAGAGTGTACTTACACAAACCTAGGTGGTCTAGCCTCCTACACACCTAGGCTATGTAGTATAGCCTATTGATCCTAGGCTCCTAGGACAGTATGTTAATGTCCTAAAAGCTGTAATCAATTGTAACAAAATGGTAAATATTTGTGTATCTAAACATATCTAAACATAGAAAAGATATAGTAAAAATATCTTATTATAATCTTATAGGGCTACTGTCTTTATGTAGTCTATAGTTTACCAAAATATTGTTATGCATACATATATGTATTTAATATGAAAGTAATGTTTTTATATTTTATTTATATTTTAAATGCATTGCTCCATTCTTGTTATGCATTCTTCATTCGTGTTATGCATAAATATATATGTATACATGTTTTCATAGCATATATGTATACATGTATTCATAGCATATACATATATGCTATGTGTGTATATATATATATATATAAAAAATATATATATACCCATACATACATACAGGGTTTGGTACTATCCATGGTTTTAAGCATTACTGGGGGTCTTGGAATGTACCCTCCATGGTTAAGGGGGTAACTACTGTATAAGCCTCATGAAACTAGTACTTAATCATGTCTATAATTGTATCCCCAGCACCTGAAAAAAATTCTAAAATATAAAATTATAAATTATAAATAATTAATCAATGAATCAAGACTGAATAATGAAATTTAACATGGGGACATGTAAAAAAGAGGGAGGAGTAAAGAGGACTTCTAGTGAGGGTAAGTGAGTATGAGAGCAGGTTTGAGAAAATATAAGTCTAAGTTATGCACCTCAAGCTTTCAACGGTGGTTTCCAGTAGATGATTGAACATAGAGCAGTCTACACTGCAGTCAGTAGCATGAGACGGTGGTTGAACAAGAGCAATTTCCCAAGGGGGATATGTGTCATAAAAATAACACATTAAAACCATCAGCATTTTTTAGAAATTAAAAGAGACACCTCTAAAGGAATCAGAGAAGTCACTGTCAAAGGAATAAGAGGTCAACCAGAAGAGTATTGCTGTTCTGAAAGACAAGGTGCACTACTGCACCTTGTCACCTATCCAGAGAGAGGTTATGGCCAACTTTGTCAAAAGCTACCAAGACAAACTATAAGAAAAAGACTGAAAATTAATTTTTGCTAATGTTACAAACTGGGACTAATAGCTTCTGTAGATGAATAACTAACTGCTGGCAAAATTGGAAATGTGCTTTCAGAGTTTTTTTTTTTTAGGCTGAAATGTATTTGTATTGATCTGCATGTCTAGATTCTGACTTAGATTAGAGTAGGGATACTGGGGGATTAAAGCAAATTCCTTACATAGTAGCGGCATAACCATGGTTGCGAGGCTTCATTCTCTGTGACCCAGTTACCTCAATTGGAAAACAGAAAACTATACTGGGCCCTATCACACAGATTTTATGAGAATTGAATGAGATAATATACATATAAATTCCTTAGCACACAATTATCATTCAGTGAATATTTATTTACTGACAAAGTGATATTTTATTATTATTATCCATCCCCATTCTCTACAATAGTATACACTGTTGTACAGAATACGAGCTTCAAATATATCCTGGCATAGCCGAAATAAAATGAAGCTAATGTCCCAGGTTTGGGACACTAAAGTTAACTTCCACAGTTTAAACAAACTGAGTAACTTTCTTAATTCATCTAAATCATAATCATTGAATTTAAGCAAATCTGAATAATTTAGAATTGCTAATAATTTCTCAAATCTGTATTAGTGATAAAATACTTCTAATTTTTGAAATGGTCAGTTTAACAACTCAAACTAATTCCATATATCCCTCACCTCTATTTAATTGATACTTATAATATTAGTTCTTCATAAATTAACTGTCAAACTTAATTCTCTAATATAATCTCCATTTAGGTTCCCTCTGGAAAGAAAAAGAAATAGGATTCCAGGATGAAATGTCTGGTTAATTAATTGAGTCTTCCATTTTTCGAAAATATTAGATTTGACATTAATTTTCCTAATCCCCATAAATAATTGCAATCATATTAAACAGATATGACTTACCAATTTGAAACAGTGCTCTCTAGTTTTGTATTTAATAGGAAAGCAATTGTTTTTATATTTTATTTATATTTTAAATGCTTTGCTCTGCTTTTTTTCTTAATAAAAATGATTCTGCTTGTGTCTACATTTTAATAGAATACTGCAGCTACTTGAGAATACATTTATCTTGTAATGGTGTAATCGTAAGAGCAGAATTTGTGTTTGTGTAGCATGTGCGATGCCGTTCATAACATCCCGCCATTCTAGAATTTATAGTAAGTCCATCGAATGAGACAAATAATATCCATTTTGGGGGGACTCAAAATCCGTGCTTCTATTTTAGATAAAAACAGTCTGAAATTTAAAAATATGTGTATGTATATGTGTAAAATTGATTTCCTTTCCCAATAGATTCCATCTACCTAAGAATCTATGGACACAAAGGTTACCCACTTATCCAGCTGTAAGGAACTAAGCAGTAGGAGAGTGCATTGGTTAAAAAAGTGATGTTACTCAGCTAATCAAGCTTTTTTTTTTCCTCTGTAATGACATTCTGGAATTAAAGTAGGTATAATGTAAACTTAAAATAACAAGGCAGTTCCCCCAAAATATATGTTTTCACTTGCAAATATTTTGTTGGCTTGTAATCATTTTAAAGGGATTCTCTTTTCCTCTGCCTCTGCATGTGGACATAGGTAATAATAATTTATATTATTTAAAAGCAGATAAAAATGCACAGATAGGGAATTGAGGGCAATTTGTTTAGCTCCCATAATAATTTAATACTTATTTCACTCAAATATTATATTATATTTCTGTGTATCCAGGATTCACTGCTACCCAGGTAAAAATATCTCAGAGATGATCTCCCTCAAAAAGAAGGTTTCTGTTTTCTCTCTATGATAATTCTGGAGACGTGGACACTGGTTGCCAATTGCCTTTTAGCAGGTCTCTTAGCCTTGCCAAGTTAGAATTCCTCCCCCTAGCCTGGCACGGTTGCTTACGCCTGGCCGAGGTGGGAGGATCACCTGAGGTCAGGAGTTTCAGACCAGCCTGGCCAACATAACGAAAACCCGTTTCTACTAAAAATACAAAAATTAGCTGGTGTGGTGGCGTATGCCTATAATACCAGCTACTCGGGAGGCTGAGGCAGGAGAGTTGCTTGAACCCAGGAGGCGGAAGTTGCAGTGAGCTGAGATGGCGCCATTGCACTCCAGCCTGGGCAAGAAAGTGAGACTCAGTCCCAAAAACCAAAAACAAAAAAAATTCCTTCCCCTATAAAACTGTGGTGCTCAGAGAAAATGTTGACCAACAGAGGGGCACTTGAAAATATAAATGGTTATTTGTGCAGTCAAAATAACTGGGTGTCTGACTGGTGCTTAGTGGTAGATCCTGCAATGTACGGAGCTAACTCTGCCCAATAAAGAATTATCCCACCTACGATATTATCAATAACCTTGTTGTGACTCATAAGCTGAGAGCTGGTCTCTAAAATAATTTCCAATTCTATAATTGCATAAAGCATGTTTTAAAGGTGATTATGGTAGACACTTTGGTTATCTGCTCCTATCCCATTGTCTCTTACCATTTCAGTGCATGCCCTGAATTCCAGCTGAACAGCTGTGTTGCTCTGCCCCAAAGCTTTTTTGGATCTCTCCATCAGCAGTCTACAGAATTATTGGTAATTAATGCCTTTGGGATCAGCTTTAAATCAGGGACTGAGTATACTATTTTCCCTCCTGTGGAGAGGCATGGGAGTCACTCTCAGTTAAGTATTCTCCAGTGCTCCCCAAAGGATTCAATCTCAGTTGCCCACAGTGCTAGCAGGCTTCCCAAAGGATCCTTTATTGTACCTTTTCTTCCTTATCCCACTTTCTCATTGGTATTTCTTAAGATCACCTGCCAAGTAATCTCTTTGTACTGAAATCCATACCTTAGAGTCTGCGTTTTGCTGGAACATGAACTGAGACAGTAACATATTTACTCTAAGTGAAAAAGGGTCTCAGAGAATAAATATATCTTAGCAGTATTTGTTCAACCTGTCAGCAACAGACTTGCTGAAGATGGAGGCTTGTGGGAATTGAAATGAAAAAGAAAGAGGAAACCATTGGAAGAATGACTCTGCTATATGCAGGGGATCTCTTTGAATCACAGTGCAGATTTTACATCGTGGAGAGGCAGTAGTGATGTCAGACAAAAAGGCTGGAGGAAGTAGCCCTAAAGAACTCAAGGGCATTAAGGCCAAGAACTGAGCTCATGAGAGAATAATGCAAGAATCTGTATAAACCAAGAGCCAAAAGATATTCTATCCACATATAAAAATCAGGAAACACTAATACTTTATGCCACTGTTAACCTTCAAGTATATCCTGGGCATTCAGTAGAGACTTGGCTAAGCACTGGAATTTTCTGAACTTCATAAATAAGAGACTCCCACCTGGTCAAGCACCAAATCACACAATACCATGCCAAGAACATCCAATAAATGAAGGGATTCCCTTTCTATCTATATAAAAATAGCATCCAAGCATCTGGCGCTCCTAGAAATCACTTCCACAGCGAGTCACAGAAACAAACCACTGCATGTTATGTAGTAGAATGCAACTCCTTGAGCTTTTGTCTAAATATGTATTCTCTCAGCAGTAAAGCATGAAGGTCATGTAGTAGTTGTGGCTACACACATTAAAAAGAGAAACATAGGCTTTGATTTATGTACCATTTTATACAATTGATTTATCAACCCTGCCTAGTGGTAAGATTATTCCTAAAGTTACCAGTTGTCATGACTTTATCGTGATTGAAAGAAAACTGGTTAAAAAAAAAAAAGATACAGATGTTTAGCATTTTAATGCATCTAACGGAGCTAAATATACCACTCTCTCTATTTCATAATTTTATGTAATTTCACATATATAGTTAGAATATATATTAATACAGCTTTATGAGAGCAGTATTATTAGTCTCATTTCACAGAGGAAGGAACTGAGGCTCAGAGACATTAAATATCTTGCCCAGGAACATAATAGCTAAGAAGTGCAGAAATGAGATTCCAAATACCCAGTATGTCTGCCTGCAAAGCATATGCTTTCTCATTTATTACATTTTGGCAGAACACGTCACTATATTAGAGGTTTTTGGTAAGAACGAGGGAGATACATTCTACTTTGTTATACATGTGGAAGAAATATGTAAATGCAATAATGATAATGTTGCATTTTTTAGTAGATTTCGCATGCAAAAAATAAGGCTTGAGGTTAGTCAAACCATATTTGTAAAACCATCCTGCAAATAGTTGATTAGAAACTTACAAGGGTAATGATCACATTAAACTAAAGCACTGCTGTATTCTAATAAAACACTCTTGCTTTCCAGAATGGCTTTCCATCTTTTGTCCAGGAGAAATATTTCTGGCAAATAGCCACCAAATGCTCATAGATTCTTTTTGGAAAATTTCATGCTTCCTCAAGATGTTAATTTGGTGACATTAAGAATAGATCAAGTCAAGTACATAGTTAGAAGCTGATGAGCATATAAAAATATGGATTTGGTTAGACACATGTCCTATTATTTCAGAATAGTTCCCTGATGAGGGCCATAGAGAAGAGCCACAATTTGGTATCATTTTCCTTCCATATTGTAATATATCTCACATACCTAGAAATGTATTTGGAATAGTTATATTTTCTCACTAATCATCATAAATCTAACATTTGTGAATATGCCAAACTGGGAGTTAGGAGATGTGTATTCTAGATTTGTTTCTCACCTTCTCTCTCTATTCAAACTTGAGTAACACTGGAGGTTACAAAGATCTTAAAAGCCATTGAGTTTGTTGCTTCCATTTTACAGATTTTTGAGAGAGAGAGAGAGAAATATTTCAGAAAATCAAGTGACTTCATCAAGGCAACCCTACTAATAAGTAGGTAGGCTAACACAGAGCTTCTGACTCCAAGACTAGTGCTTTAAAAATATTTCTGGACTGCTCCCCCATCATGATATGGCTTCAGTAACATGCTTCAAAGTTCGATTCTAAAATGCAATAATTCTATAACATTCTCTTCTGTAAGCTACAGTAGATGAAGCACGGAGGAAATCCAGAACCATACATATTTCTGGAGGAAGTTAGAAAGTCATATAGTCCCAAAAAGTTTCACTTAAAGAAGTAAAACAATAGGTCAACTTGTATTTGAAGGTTGGGGTAAACACTAAATTCTTACATAAACAAGGCTGTGTGGGGTAAGAAAAAACTGTTTCAGAATCAGACTTTGCACAGAAATGTTGGCAAAGCCATAATTACTGTGGTGCTAGAGTGTGCTTCTCTAATATGATATTTCATTCCCTTGAAGATAGTAATTTACTTTTTGATATGTTCATTGCATAGATTAAGATTCGGTTTTTGAAATATGTTTCCAAATTATGTATCCAGGAGGAAAATACGCTCTTCTTCAAAAGTGAAGAATACAAATTTGAAAATAATCTATTTTCTAAAATCATTTTACATTTCACTCTTCTACTGAAAAGTTAGGATCTGGATTCTTTTTTTCTCTTTCATTTCCTGCATGAAGATTTTAAAAAATGCACTACAATTCCAGAGTATTAGTTGCACAATCTGGCTTTTATTAAAATTCTATTTCCTTTTTACTGGGAGAATGCAAGATACATCAGTCTGATATAATATCGATATGTTGGGAGAAACAACTGTGTCTTAAGATACCAATTTTCAACCATTATCAAGTGGGTGGATTAATTTCCTGAAATGCCGAAGAATATCAATGGTCTACTAAGAAGGGTTATTTCTAAAGATATTCATTTAGGACACTATTGTTTACTGATTTTCTTCTTCTTTCTTTTCAAAATAATAATACAAAAAGCCAATTCCAAGTACTCACTTCTGCCTGCACCAAGGTAGTGGTACTGGAGAGCAGATATATAGAATTTAAAGAGCACATATAGCTTATTGTCAGGTTACTCAAGATCTCTTACAATAATAACAAAGTAAACAAATTAAGCTGCCCAATATATACAAGCATTTCAGGAAAAGAAGGTCCCAGACCTGTAGTTTCATTCACATGGATAATTATAAAACAGTTCTTTTAAAAGTACTAGGATCTCTGCCCATGTAGCTCTTTTATGTTTGTAATGCAAATCGTTTTAAACTTCACTTCATGTTGAAAACACACACACACACACACACACACTCATACTGCTTGTGGTACATAGCCTTCAAGCTGGCCCATATCATCCTCTGTTCCCCATGGTAAGTTACCCACATGAAGTCCTCTCCCATGATGAATAGGGTTGATCTCAGTAACTAATAGTATACTGTGAATATAACAACTTGTACCCTCTAAGACTAGTCATAGAAGACATTTCCCTATTACAGGCCCTTTCTTGAATCATTTACTCTGGGGAAATGCAGCCGCCATATCTTGAGTCTTATGCAGGTGAGGTCCATGGGGGGGTGAGGGGAACTGAGGCCTCATGCCAACAGTAGTATGTGCTTGCCATCCATGTGACTGAGTCACTTTGTAAACAGATCCTTGAGTACCAGTCAAGCCTTACTGACTGCAGGCTTGGCTGGCATCCTAACCTTAACCTTATGAGAGACTCAGTTCACACACTGAAGCCAGTACCATGTTTTTGACCACAGAAACTATGTAAGATAATAAATACTTAATGTTTTAAGCTACAAAACGTTTGAATATTCTGCAATTGATAACTGTTGTACATCATTTCTTGATTTTGTAATTTTAGATATTCTGTATTAATTTCTGATTAATGGAAATGATGGTGTAGCTCTTAACTATTCATTCCAACCATTCAATATGGCATATTTCAGTTTTTAAAATTAATCAGTTTTCAGTCGTTTCACTATTCATGACCTTATAAATATTATTCACAGCTGAGCCATTAATTACATTGTTTTACTTGATACAATATTGGTTTCACTAAGGTTAATGACTCATTCTTCCTGAAATTTTTTCTTACTATTCTCTGTAATGACAACGAATTTATCCCCAAACTCTACTAGTAGAATGGAAATGTCACAGTAGGGTCTGGTATTTTAGCAGGGTTTTTTTGTTTTTTTTGTTTTTGGTGGGGGAGAAGAGAGGTATTTATTTATTTATTTACACTTATTTTTAGCTTGAACACTTCACTGTGAGAGCTTACGATTCTCTTCTTTTTATCTGGGTTAGTTACTCTCTGGGACTGCTAAAAAATGGAATCCTGGAATATCCCTTCACTATCTTCCTGATGACTCTTTTTTCATCTCTCCTGTGATGGATCCTCTGATTCCTAGACATCAATCTCATATCAACTTTCTTTGTGATTTTCATCCTTTTTTTTCCCGCAACATATTGTCTAGTAGTTTCCTGAGAAAGTTATTGTTTTGAGATCTTGTGTGTCTGAAGATGTCTTCATTCTAATAAGCTCTGCTGGCCAGATATGGATCACTAGCTTGCTAATTATTTTGCCTCAGTATTTTGAAGATGCTTATTTAATGTCTTCTAATGTCTAATACTGCCATTATGAAGACCCTTTCTGAGATTCCATCCTCTGTTTTCAAATCTGCTGTTTCTTCTTTGGAATAGTTTATTTTCTACATTTGGGAATTTCATAATGATGTGCCCTAGCAGAAATCATTTTCTTTTTCTCCATCTATTGTTCATAGATTGTTTCTTTCCCATTTTCTCGGTTCTTTCTTCCTGGAATTTGTCTTGATCTTTATGAATTGATCTTTTATTTGTTTTATATTTCTCCTTTTATATTATATGCCTAAGTTTTCTTGTTCTTTTTCAATGTCTTCAACTTTGTCTAACATAATTTATATGGATTCTATGTTCCTTTTGATATCATCTTGTCATTAACAAAAGAATTTTTAAAATTTCATTTTGGATATTAATATTTTTCTTCTTATACTCCCCACTTTCATGTTCTATTTCTTTAGTTTTCTTACTATTGTTCCTTTCATGTTAGAAGCTCTGCTCACATATCTGATCATCACTGAATATCCATTAATATTTAAGAAAGAGATGCTAAAGGCTTGTTGGAACTTCTTATCACATAGTTTGAGGAATGATGATCCTTGCTGTAGAGTGACCAGAACAACATTAGTTGTTCCAAATAATTGTCCCCATTTTATTTGGAACAACTACATGGCAATGTCGCATCTTTTCTCTTGGTTTGTCCCACTTTTGGATAAAAGCCTTCCAATTTTCTTCATGACAGAGTACGTTTGGCAGGCAGGGTATTTTTTTTGTCTGTTTTTTGTTGTTATTGTTATTATTGTTGTTGTTTGAGACGGTGTCTTGTTCTGTTGCCCAGGGTGGAGTATAGCAATGCAATCTTGGCTCACTACAGCTTCTGCTTCCCAGATACAAGCAATTCTCACGCCTCCGCCTCCTGAATAGCTGGGATTATAGGCCCACACCACCATGCCTGTCTAATATTTTTGTATTTTTAGTAGAGATGGGGTTTTACCATGTTGGCCAGACTGCTCTTAAACTCCTGACCTCAAGTGATCTGCCCGCCTCTGCCTCTCAAAGTGCTCAGATTACAGGCAGGAGCCATTGCGCCCAGCCAGAATAAGGATTTAATCATCACTGTCTTCCTGTTTTGTTAGTGCTTGTGCCCTCAGCTGACTTGGTGTCTCTTAGGCCATAGAAAGAAAAGTATTATTATTCCACCATGTTTAAACAGAAGTCTAGTCTACTCCATTTTGGACTACTTATAAACTTTAGAATAGTTACAACATATGATATTCTAAGTATTCTAAAATTAATCTTTAAGACTTTAAGTTAATCATTCTCTGGTTTCTACATATTGATTCTGGGCCTGTTTCCTGGGATATAATGTATGTCGTTTCCACCCAGGCGTCTACTTCCTTTACATTACCCCACCAAATTTTCCTCATATACTATATATAAGACACCAAGGACATACATCTTGGACCATGTACTGTAGTAGGCATAGGTTGAACAAGGATTAGTGAATAAAACAAGTGTGATATGAAGCATACAATCTAATGGAACAGATTCACATTAAATAAGTAAAAAATGAATTAATGATACTGAGTTATAATAAATGCTAAAGGATATGACAAAGAATGCAATAGAACAATTTTCTTGTTTTACTTTAGCACAATTTCTAAAAGTGCTAACTGAAATTATAGGAGAATGCTTTCAGTAGCCACATAATGCTATTGACTCGTGTTGTGCTAAAAATAACTAAAACGCTCATGTATTTTTTGTACATAAACAGTTGTTAAGTAGCATCTCTCCCTATATATCTGTGTAAATATGTGTGCTTTCATATGTTCCCTTTTACTAAATGTGGGCTTTTATCCCTATCTATGTTAAATTTATCTTGTGAGAAAACATCTAATTTCTTATATTATTATTAAATGTTTGAATTAAATTTGCATTATTTTTTCAAATATATTAACTCTGTCTCTCATAGTTATGCCTTTGCCAAAAATGATAAGCACACCTTCTTTGACATCAGTATCCAAGTTATTAAGACAGCGTAAGGGATTCGTACAAAGTCATAAGGGCACTTCATGCAGGCTGACATCATTTCATTAATCAACTATTAGGCTTTAGTTTTTAATTGTCTGTGAGTATTTGGTTTTTCTTCCTAGGATCCTTGCCTTCCCTACCTTTTGATAGTTTGGAGTTGCAGACTAATTAAGAGCTATCCCAACCTCACATGGCCAAGGGCATTTGGTTGCATTTGACTGCTTCTCATCAAGGCAGGAGAGGAAAAATGAAAGCTCGCATTCTTTTCTTTCCTTTTGTCTGATATTGTCACCACTTTTTATCTCCCATATCAATAAAGGACAAAGATTGTTATGGGTAAGAAAATAGAAACAAAGCTTCCTGCTTTTGTTGTAGGAGTGCTTATATTAGCCTCTGACCATGAAAGAGGACAGCTCCTTGATAATCAGTCCAGGAAATTAGTACTGGTATTCATACCCTGTGTTTTTAACTTTGACTTCTGTGATAGCAGCAACAAGTCTAAGGAATAGATGAACGCTCTTTCCTTACTGACTAAAGGGTGTCCCTTCAGAATTCCTAGGTTCACTTTACTCAAAATCTTGCAGAGAATTTGAGAGTCCTTCAGCCAAGTGTTTATAAGTAGCTGTGATCTGCTGCTAGATTCAACACTCCAGCTCTCAAGAGGAAAGTGAAGGAAACAATTTAAAAGAAATTAATGGGTGCTCAGTGACAAGTTACACAGGATGAAGTGGACAAGAAAATATAGCACATTTTCATCTACTTATATTTTTAATGTAGTGTTATTTTGTTTAGCTTGGTTTTAGCTTCTAGACTTTTAGTTTAAATTTGAATCTATTCTTTTTTTGGCAATTTCATTTAAAAAAAGCGAAAGAACATATTGAGAAATAAAGGTCTAATGCTTGAGTTTGCCCTGCAGGATTTTAAGAACAGGTTTTTCTCTCAAGAATTAAGACTCCACCTCAAATTATTATCAATGCTTAAAAACAAACATTACTGAGCAATTTATTTTTAGACAATAAAATAATTTTGTGAGCAAATATCAATAGGAATGTTTTAGTTATTAAAAATGCTAAATAAGATTTTGCATTAGAAATTAGCACATTTTTATTAACTCGTAGGTCAATTTAAATTTGGCTAGAGAGCTTCATTTTACCAACAATTCTACATTAGGAATTTGAAAGACACAATATCATCTAGTGATACATAAAATATCAAAGGCATAGAAGTTTGAAGTCATGATAACTTGGAGTTTGGATTTCTTTGTGAATCTGGATCAGATACATAACTTGTTAAAGTTTATTTGACAATTCTGCATAATACTTTGCATTCATAATATTGTTGGGAAGATGTTTGATAGAGAAAATGATCCTCTCACATACTAGGTGCTCCAGAAATGTTTGATTTTGAGCTTAAAAGGCAAGTCAGAAGTTTCTATTTTTACAAGAGAAAAAAAAGAGAGAGAGAGAGTAAATTTTACTTTTGTTGATAAGAAGATAGGAACATTCTTGGCTGGAATGTGTCATGATCTGACAATTAATAGAAATTTGCTCATGTTGGCTTTCTCTCCCTTTTCTTTCTTTCCACCCCTCTTATCTGTAGTTCATTCTACACTGTAAAAAAAGCGAAATTAAGATCAAATGCCGAGTACTTCCCTTACATTCTGGAGAAAAATGCACTTCTTCTTTGCTTAGAATGGAAAGAATCAGAATATTTTAAAAAGCTGCAAATCATACAAAACTGGGGAAATATATACCAAAAGCAGGTAATAAATTAAAAAGATCATTTACAGAGATAGCCTGGGGTGATAAGAGTTTAAAATTTTGATCTTTTTGTTCATCTTAGAAAAATTATGATATATGTATTCTCTCTAGCTCACAGTCTTCTCATTTTCAAAATGAGAGAAACAGTGATACTATTATGTTTCTTATCAGCATTAAATTATATAACCCTTGTGACATCCCAAAAATTGATTCTATCCAAAAAAATGCATGTTAATCATTATTTGCCAAAAAAGACAATCTCCAAATTTCTTTATTTTGTAAAGGTATTCCATGACCTAGTCCTATAGAGCAGGTGAATATTGGAGATTGTTTTCTCTGTAACTTTACTATCATCTACCTATCTTCGTATTTTGTTGAGAGATCATGAAACCCTCTATCAAACTCTCTTTATGCAGTAAGTTATAACAAATTAGCAATGGCTTATAAAGATATATCAAATTAGAGTAAAATGCAACTGAAAATATCATAAATCATTCGGTAATTAATGTTTTCTTAAATTCTTGTGGTAAGTACAAGAGAAGAAATTGGAGATGTGCAGACTTTAAATGACCTAAACAGTCTTACACAGGAGTTTTTGCAGTATGGTAAGAAGGAGGTGGCTACTTATGTTTTCAAAAAGCAAATGACCTCATGAAAAGTATGCAAGGCTATACTGTCGATGTTAGAAAACTGAAAGACAGTCAGAGAATAATTAAAAGAACCTTGCAGATGTAGGGTTGTGAAATGAAAAAGGCTTAGATTTAGGTTATGATCTAAAGAATTGGATTTAGGTGAAGAAGGTAGGGTAAATCTGAGTGACAGTTTCTTGAAGAAAAGAGACACTAGTTGTGAATCATGATAGCAATTACCCTGACAGAACAGAACTATGGTGGCTAACCAGCTCAGGCTCAGAGACTGCTGTTATGTTCTATTGAATGAGCTAAAATAGTCCAGGTTGAGAGCATTCCTCTGAGATCTTAGAAGAAATAACAGATATGAGAATTACAGTTAGGCAGCTTGGTTTTAAATCAGAAGCTGGATAGTTTTTTAGATAACAAAGCTTAAGATCTATTGTTATAAGACTGAGGACTCAGAGACCAAATGTCTGTGGCATATACAAAGACTAGAGAATAGAAAAACTCCGAAAATAGAGTTGGGGCTACTCTCTCAGGAGGACAACCCTAAGAATCCACTGTCATCACCCAACTTAACAAAACATGCAATCAGGGCACAGAATATTCATTTGTTTGAAAGGGAATCTGAATATCCTGAAAGATAGCACTGTCTCAAAAGCTACCATCTTAAAAAAAAAAAAAAAAAAAAAAAAAAACAGCTAGAAGGGAGGTTTATTCAGCTTGCAGCATATCCCTATCATTTTTCTTCCTTTAGCCTAAGGTATGTTTACCACTCTACCTTTATAAAACACAACTCTATAACACATGTTCTGTTGGTTGAAATGTATGTCTTTCTTAAGATGTAAACACCTAGGTTTCCTTTAGTTTAAATTTTGCATAGATAACTCTGCAGCAAGCATAGAGTCTGTAAAGATTGCTACATAATAAGTGCCTTCTGATAAAAATCATCTCATAAATATTTTATCTTACAGAATAAAGAAACTCTTGTGTTTCTCTCACATCTTGTCAGTGGACTGGATTTGTTCTCTGATCCAAATTCCAGTGAAGAAATAGCAGTGCTCTAAAATGGTTAAGATTTATTTTGAACAAAGGTTTGCTTTTAAAATATGTCAGCGTTGTACATGGCAGGGCTGACACTTACTCCTTTTCTCTGCTATTAGGTTTACGTGGTTAGAGCTGTCAAGAAATCCAAAAAAAAAAAAAACAAAAAAAAACAACAACAACGAAAACACACAGTAGTGGAGAGGCCAAGTTCCAGCCCAGCTCTGTTATGCCCAAACGTTACACCAGGGCCTGAGCTTACACCCTTGCTTACCTTCCTCTCTAGACACTGGGGAGTGCAGAGAAAGCTGAGAAAACAGATCTGTCCTATTTTCCTGGTCACTGCCACTGTCATGAAGACTAGAGTTGGGTTTTGTTTCTTTTTGGGGGGGTGGCGGGGCGGGGGGTGGGTGTGCGCCCACCTGTTCCAAGTCACAATTCACAGATCCTTGTCACCAACTGAAGAAAATATGAGACCACAGGCTGTGTCTTGATGATGGAATTTTTGACTCAAACATAGACCTTTTTTTCTCCAAAGAACACATTCAACTTGCAGATGACTATACACACACACACACACACACACACACACACACACACACACACACACAGTTTTATTTATTTTTTAAATGATAACATTCAGCATGTTGACAAGGATAAAGAGAACTATGACCCTTAAACATGTCAGGTAGAACGTCAGGTAGAATGGCAAATGCACCAACTTTCCGAAGGTAACATGCCAATAAGCATCAAGAATCAAGAACCTTAATAATTTTCAGTTCCCTTAAATTTACTTTTAACTTATTTAAAAATAATTATAATTTTTGGAAATTATTTCAAAGAATTAAGAGAGGGATATGCTTTATGTGTATTTCTTTCAAAGTAATTTTTTAAATAACCAGTAATTATCTGGCTTTTTCAGAGCACTAAGTGAATCCCCAGAAAATATGATGAATGCAATTAGCAAAGCTCTGAGTTCCCCACAGATGTTGGCCCGTGGTCTGTGTATCCCCAGGCTGTGCCATGAGTGAGCCCTCAAAGAAATGTCACCTTGCAAACAGGTGTATTTTTTTCCTCACATAGAACATTTGTCTGAGAGGAAGGTCTTTTTCTTTTATGAAATCTTAGTATTATAAAATCAGCAACTTTACATGAAAGAGAAGAATGAAAAAATAAAGAAATTTATATGACTCCAAAGAGCAAATAGAAAGACTAAAAAAATAATTTTTTTAAAAGATGCTTTTGAATGTTGAATGATATCATTTCCTTTATAGGACACAGAAGTAACGATAAATAGAAAATATGGCGTTGAAATGGACTAATGTGATATAAATTTGATTGTAAGGTCTTTAAAAGATTCTGTGCTAAAAATGAGCATTTACTTTGGAAATGTGTTCGAGCATTTTTTTAAACCATTCATTATGTTTCTCAATGTATAACTCTGTCATTGTATAAAGATAATCAGATTCTTCAGGACAGAGACTGTGTCTGATAGTTCTTTGATCTCTGGAAACACATCCAGGTGAAGGTGATCATGAGAGTCATCATTGCCTGGAGTACTCAGACCTATTGACAAACAGAATTTTACTTAGAGACTGTTAAGTTTCTGCTTACAATGTGGGGTTTTATTCATGAAAATGTCCATTTTTAGAATAAAAGAGAAGATACAGGTGATTTAATTTAAAAATCTAGTTTTACAATTAAAGAAACAGAAATTTTAGAGGTCAAATGAGTTGTTGAAAGTTACACAATTGGCCGGGCGCGGTGGCTCACACCTGTAATCCCAGCACTTTGGGAGGCCAAGGCAGGCGGATCACAAGGTCAGAAGATTGAGACCATCTTGGCTAATATGGTGAAACCCCGTCTCTATTAAAGTACAAAAAAAAAAAAAAAATAGCCAGGCATGGTTGTGCGTACCTGCAATACCAGCTACCTGGGAGGCTGAGGCAGGGGAATCGCTTGAACCCGGGAGGCGGAGATTGCAGTGAGCTGAGGTCGTGCCACTGCACTCCAGCCGGCAACAGAGAAAGACTCCGTCTCCATTTAAAAAAAGAAAGTGATACAATTATTGTTATTCAACTAGTTGGGAATTAGACCTTCTAAATCCACATCCAAGCTCATTAACCCAAGTAATATTTTTTTTCTTTTCTCTCTAAAGATTAGTCTTTAATAGGGTAGAATTTCTGTCAAGTGGTCAAATTTTATCACTGTGGTCAATTTTAATAACAATGCATTTAAGGTATTTATCTACGTTACAGAATCAGGTAATATATCCCAGACTTGGCATTATCTGATGTGAAAAAGGCATAGCTTTTAATTATGTTTTTATATTTGGGTAACTGGTGTTTGTGTTGTGCTGTTACAAGAGTGATAGGGTTGCTACAGAAACAAAACGCATAAAGAAACCAACCCCTTAAAAAACAAAGAAACCTAATTGAATCTTAGGAAACCTTAATGACATTTTATAGTCCAGATAATGAGAAAAGTTAGATTCATCACGCTTACTTAAATAAATTCTCTTTTCAATTCTAGTCACCACTTTAAGGTGGTCTTTGACAAACCAGAACAATGACTATCCGCTATAGTTTAAAGAATCTGAATGACATTTCTCTTTTAAGAAGTAGGTAACTGGGCAAAACTGAATAATGATTCTAGTCTCATAGGACCTAGAAAAGACTTGAAGATGATAAGCAGGTGAATAGGCATAAATAGGATGAAGGAAAGCTTTTTATTATTTTTCTATTTTCAAGGCATTAACTCTAAAAAGCCCAATTCAAAACCAAGTAACTGCAATCGTTGGCTACACAAAGAGGAGGAGGGAAAGAAATGTGAATTTGTGTCCCCGTTAAACAGCAGCAATTTTTCAACAGCAGTTATGCTTTTGTGCAAATTTAAATTAGATGGTATCTGCTGATAGATTATTAATCAAACAGAAATATTCAACTGAAGTTTCCCCTCGTGATTATTTTATTTTGCATAATTTGCCATTTGCACTTCATCTGCAGCTGCAATCTCATTGATATAAAAGAAATGTCAACTTCAAAGGTGCCATCTCTTACAAATTATAAATTCAGCTTTGTGGATTAATGTTACAAGTGGCCTATTCTTAAGATAATTAAATGTGAATGAGCTACGCTTTAGAGGCAATCAAACAGAAATCTTTTTCCCAAAGATGTGCAAAAATAGATTACCTGAAGAATTTAGTTCTCTGATCTTCCATATATACATGGAAATCAGCTAACACGTTTAATTAAGTTGATATGTAAATAAAAATTTTAAGAAAAACTTTTATTGTCCTTTTCCAAAGTATGTTTTACTGGATTTTAGAAAATCTATTAAAATACTTATTCATCTGAGAGAAAGTTATTACATTATCATCTTAGGTTTTCAAAAATTATTGAACAGGAAGTTTGGGTGTTTGAAATTGAAGAGTAAGCTCTTAAAAAAACAATCCTTACACAAATAACTAAATGCTGGATAAAATCAAAAACACAACTAGCTGAGGGCTTTGGAGGATGAAGCAAGCAGGGAGTTTCTAAAGGGGAATCAAAACTTGGGGCAGCATAGCGTAAAATCCCTATTTTATTGGTGATTTATCCTTAAGATAGCTGCTGCTGCAGTGGAGATAGGTTAAAAATGACTTCTCATCAAAAAAACAAAAACAAACAAACAAACAAAAAAAACAGGTGACGGCGCTCTGGGGTAACAATGGCTCCCAAAGAGTCAAAGACAGAAAGGAGAGACCAGGAAAAAGGAACCCTTAATTCAGTGCATAAACTCAAGGTAAGTTCCTGGTTGACCACTGGGACCATTCATAAGGTGAATGGAGGATGGTGGGCAAAATTAAAGCAACTTACAACTAAAAATTACAAAAAAAAGTGAGATGTGAGCTACAATGCACTATATGTGTGACAGTAAGTAAATTGCCTGCCAAAATAAACACCTTCAATAATCTGTTGGAGGTAAAATAGAACAGAATCCAGAATATATTCAGCATAACTAACACTCACGATATCCAGGATGCAATTCAAAATTACTCAATATAGAAAGGCTGCAAATGTGACCCAATATCGAGGTATTAATAATGAACAGATGCCAATCAGGATGGTGCAGAGGCTAGAATTATCGTATGAGGCTAGTAAAGCACCTCTTATAACTTTGTTCTTCAAGGTAGAGTATAAAATCTTAGCAAAGATACAGACAATATAAAAAAGAAAGTGAAATGTTAGAACTGAAATAAATAAACATCTGAAATAAAATCACTGAGTAAGCTTAATAAGAGAAAGGAGATGAAAGAGAAAATGGCCAGTGAACTTGAAAATCTGTCAATAAATTTCACTAAACCAAAAGATGAGAGAGATTTTAAAAATTCTAACCAACCTAACAGGGCCTAAGAAGTCTATGAGACAATGTCAAAAGTTTTAACATATAGGTAATTGAGTCCCAGAAGGGGAGAGAAAGAAAATGGAGCAGAAGAGCTGCTTGAAGAAATAATGACTATAACTACCATTTTTGGTAAATGAACAAGATGTTAAATTTAATAGTTGAGCAAATGCCAAATAAGACAAATTCAGAATATATTTTGTAGATAATCATACTCAAAATGTTCAAAGTCAAAAGCATGAGAAAATTTTAAACTACTCAGTGAAAATAACATATGATTTTAGAGGTGTAATAATTGGAATAAAAACAGACTTCCCATCAGAAACCCATGAAGAACAAAAGAGAGCAGGGAAGAAAAAGAAACCTTTACAGAGGTAAAAAATAAATAAATAAAGTTCTCATCTCATAATTTAAAATGAGTGAGACGTGTTTCAAAAATTAATATCGAATAAATACATATTTAAATGAAAAACTAAGGAAATTTATTTCTGTCAAACCTACACTCCAAAAAACATGTTATTAATGAAAAAAAAAAAAGCTCTTCAGGCTGAAGAGAAACTAGGAAATTATACCAGATGAAAAGCTTGAATCTTTCATCATAAACAAACCGCATTAAAAATGTTAAATTATGAGTAAATATAAAAAAGCCCTATTTTAAAAATTTCTTCAAAATATAATTTACCCTTTAAAGCAAATATTATAAAATTATTTATGGATTTTTAATCTGTGTGTATATTAATTCAGATGGCAACTGTAATTACAGGATAGTGACCTGTTATATGATTGCAAGTTTTCTATATTTTACACAAAATGCTACAAAAATTGAAGTATACTGTTATATATTGTTCATTATAAAGGATATAAATTGTAAGCCATAGAACAGCCACTTAACAATGATACAAAGAGGTATAGGTAAAAAGCTAGTAAAGAAATAATTGAATTCTAAAAATATATTCAAGTAATTAAGAAGAAGGCAGGGAAGGGAGATCAGAGGACCAAAAAATGAAAGATGGCCAACATAAGGACCAGAAAATAAAAGATGACCATCATAGAAACCAGTAATAAAATAGTAGAACTAAATCTGAATGTATCTTATAGTAAATGTTTATGGGCTAAGCACTCAAGTTAAAAGGCAAAGATTATGTTCAAATATTAAAAAAAAGGCCCATAAGACCCCAATATATGCTATCCAAAAGGGAAAGATTTAAATACAAAGACACAGAGAAATTGAGAGTAAAAGGATGGAAAAAGATCTACAAGTGTCAGAAGGCTGAAGTAGCAATAATAATATCAAATAAAATAGACTTCAAAATAATTAGTATTACCAAACATAGAGACATATTTCATAATGATAAAAGGGAGAGGAAGTCACAACAATCATACATGTTTATATACCTAATAACTGAAGTTTAGAATTTTCAAAAATCTGAAAGATTTCAAGGGAGAAATAGACAACTTTACAATCATAGTTTGAGAGTAACACTTTCTCTCAACCATTGACAGAAGAGTTGGTCTGATGAAGGAATCACTTAGTCTCTTTTGATTTGATATTTCTAGATCTTATGAGGACTGCTTTAGACCTTTGGTAAAGGAGTTCAAAAGCCAAGACAAGCTATTTGTCCCAGCTGAAATCCAGTAATAAGATTTTGAAAGTTTTTTTATTTTTGAGGAGTGAGCACTACAGTTAGAAATCTGCTTAATTAAAAGCTGATATCTAAGCTACACACACACATTTTATTTATATATGTAAATGAAATATATATAATGCATATAAAATATATATTAATATATAATGTATATAAATGTGTGTGTATATATATGTATATATGACCTTTATGTTTTTTCTCTTTTTGGATCCTGTTTTGCGGAATATTTTTAGTTGGCTAAAACTTTTTTCTAAATTATGTACATGGTACTTACGTTTGCTTCCTTTCTTAAAAATTGTTCTCTTATTTATTTTTAATCCACCTTATTCTTCTTTCCTCTTTGTCATATTCAGTCTCTTTTGCATTGCCTTACCTGATCTCTTTGGCTTTGAAGGACATGAGAAATTACTTTGTATTGTGAAAAAACTTGACCTTGGTGTGTTTAATGTCTAGGGAATGGGCTGATTATAGAGTGTGCTGACTGGTGTTGGGTTGCCTAGCAGCCTCCAGGGAATGTCCTCACAGTGAAGTATACTGTGGAAACATTGCACTGTCTCCTCCTGTTGTGTTTGTCTCTTTTGGGGGACCCAGGATTCAATGTGCAAATGGGATCCTTGATTCTGAGGGATATGCGTTTTACTTCCAGCTGTGCCTGCTTCTCATGTAGTTAAATAGTAAGCCCTAAAAACTGTATGCTTTTCTTCCCATATTCACCAAGGGGCTCCACTCTGAAGCTAGTCATCTAATTATGAAACGAGTTAAGTAAAATAGCCAAAATACAACTTTCTAGCATTTAGCTAGCTATCCTGACACTCTTTTGTAAAAGAAATTTACATATTTAAGGAAATCTCCATTTGAAAGGGTGCCTACCTGTGTACATTAAAAGTGTTTACCATTGTTTAAAATTTACAAGTCATCTCTTTGTTTAAGGTGCTTTCTCTGGTCATCTTAACTGAATTTTACTCACATAATTTTTTCCCGTGGTTTGAGCAGATGATGATACAATATTTAGGCCAAATGTTTTACCTTTGTACTCTAAGATATAAATTTTCTACTTTGTTTTACAAGAGCTGTCCCTTTAGAATTGCACATTTGGGGTTGCCTAGCTAATAATTGCTTAGAGAAGAAAACAGGTAATCAAGAGACTGATAGTCTAAAATACTGGAGAGAAACTTTGAAATATGACAAGTGAAGATTTGTTTCTCTGCCTGTATGTCTGTGTGTTTATACACATTTATAAGCACATATGATGTTTCATTACTAAAATATGTAAAAGAGCTCTAATTACTTGTCTTAAGGAAAAAAAATACTTAAATCAAATATTTAAACAGAAAAATAAAAATTTTACCTCACATAGTTTCATAGTTCATGTGACTAATCTTTGGTAAATTAAGAGTTTTTGAAAGTTACTGGTAAGATAAAATGGAAACATCTTCAGACTTTAATTTAGAAATTCAGTCTGAATTACACAGGCAGGTCAGATACTGCCTTTGCTAGGTGTTTTAAGGTCATAAATTGTGATATTTATGTGTGATATTTTTGACAAATATTTGACTTGCCTGTTTTACAACTATTAGATTCTAGGCTCTAAACAAATAGACATGAGTTCTTCTTGGCCTAGCTATGCCTCCTGGCTATGCAGGAAAGGGTAAGGCATTATCTGCAGCTCTGTCCTTTGTTCTGGGCTCTGAATCTAATACATAATTAAAATTGCTTACCTCCTAGGTTTTCCACTAAAAACAAGAGTTACAGTCAACACTGTAATAAATAAAATTAAAACTACTAGATATAAAAGAAACAATTCTATATACAAAGCATATAATAAAGTAGGACGTGTAAAAAGGTTATAAAAAACATGGAAATGTGGTTTTTGTTAAAGAAAAAGTAATTCTGACTCATTTAAAGGTTTATAAGAATTGTTTTAAATTAAAGAAAAAAATGATGGATAAAACTAAACGGATATAGAAAATTGGGGAGGAAAGGAAATATTTGTCCTAAAGTAAAATATTAGAAAAAAACTGAAGGTTTAAGTAAGTTATAGAAGGTTTATGGCAGATTAATGTTAAAAAAGGAATTTTGTTTGTGATCAAGTTGGCTAAAATTTAAAGGGAATTATTTCATTTTTTCTATAAATTAAACATTAATATCAAAAGCACACTGACACAGGGCCAGAATCAGGGCCTTTGTGTTGCAGTAATGGTTTTCTTGGAACATTGATCTGCTCTTTAATAGAAAATTATTAAGGTTTATAAAAGGGTCTATAAAAATCTTACTTTATGGTCAAACTGTTTGAGATTGGATGAGTTTGTTCATAAGATTTCATTGAAATAAGCTTTAGCATTAATAATATGCTATTGAAAAGTAAAATTTTGTTTTCTCTTTTGGATAAAGTTTTCAGTTAATAGTAAGAGATAGTAACAGATTTTTTTTAACCTGTTGAGTAAACTGCAAAAAAAGGGAAGAGAAAGACAGATTCAGTTGTCTTCGTATCTTTATTATGCCTTATTGTTTAAGAAACTGAGTCTCCTCTCAAAGCATAAATGTTTTTGCTTTCTAAAATATTTGCCTAATTTTTGACATCAGATGTTTAAAATCTTACATATTTGACAAACTTTCCAAAATCAAATTTCAAATTCTGTCTTTTTGACCTCATTAGCTTTTTAGATATTAGGTCCCCTGAAAGACATATTCAGCTTATTTGGTATGTTAAAATCATATAGAAAGCATTGTGAAATATAAAATAATGTTTAACTTTATTTGGGTTATATTTATATAAATGTGTTATTAGTGTGTGTTCCAAAATAGTATGGGATTTCTATAATTCTGATATGTCTCAGTATGTTGTCAGTAATAATTATATCTATTATGATAAATTTTTGTATGCCACAGAAGTAACCAAATTTCCTTGTCAATTGTGTCTTTCACCATGGCTGTGCTAAGACTTTTGTCATCCACAGTTGTTTTGCTTTGATTCTCCTCAAAAAGTGGTTTATCATCAGCTAGAGTACAAAACTTGCTTCTTATGGGGAGTTCATAGAAAGGACCTGGATAGGCATGCTTGAAAGCAGGTTTCTGTTAATTTTGGAGATTGTGCCATTGGACTAGAGAAAAAACTTCCAGAACTTTCACTGGAGAGCTAAAGTGTTAATGAGGATTGTTAGTGTAATATCGGGAAGAACAGGAGTTAATTGCATGGGACTGGACTATTAGATACTGAAATAATTTTTTATGACTTTTTTTGTTTAAAACATTGCTGATTCTTTATGTTTTGTTTTTCAGAGTCAAGAAAACTTTTTTCTTTTGAGCTATTTATAGCTTTTAACAACTGAGTAAATATACTCTTGTAAACAAACTTAGAAGCATATTTCTTTCTGTCTGATTTCTCCAGAATTTGGAAATTATTTGTAAGTATTCTTAATTCATGGCAATATAGTTATTTGTGTAAGTTGAGTAAGAATCTGTTTCATTTTTAACAGGACATAAATAGAGATAGTGGTTAATTTAGCATGGCTTCAGCTGGAAGGGCATACCTTTAGATATGACCAGAATGCTTTGAGGAATTAAGATTGATTTTATAGAGCCAATAATAGCCCCTTGGAATGACTGGTCTCTTGTCTACATGGTTACTTTGCAGGGTTCCTGACCTATGGTAAGTAAAGAATGCCACTTTCTGACAGGCCTAAGAATCTCAAGTTTTTTGAGGACTTCAAGAAGAGAGGAATTTACCCACTTCATAATAGGTATCTGCAGGCAGAGGTAAGTTATTGGCTGGGCTTGAAAGGTTTTTAAAAGTCCAATCTGAGATTCCTTATGAAAAAAGTTCCAGCAAAGCCAACGTCTAAAAGCCTATATGAACAATGATTCCTGTTGAACTTTAAGCAATTAATCAAGCCAAGTATAATAAGACTAAAACTTGTGTTGCAAATAAATTGGTCCTGCTATGATTTGTCTTTGGTAAAAAATGGGGGAATAGAGAGAGAAAAATTATGTTTCAAAAGAGACAGTCATATACCTATTATTAGATTCTAGCCTTGTCCATTAGTTTTGAGTTTTCATTTTTTCTCTACATTTTAGTCTGAATTCTGAATTCTTTACTTGTTACAAGTCTCCAAACTAACATTTTTTTATTTCCCATTTTTTCTTCCATTTTTCTGGCTTGGAATTATTAGAAATTAAAACTGTGCTTTTCTTAAAGCCCTGCAAATTGAAGCTAGACAACTTAAACGTCAGTAAAAAAATAATAGCAACTTATATATGAACAACCTTCATGCCTCCCTGCTGATGTGTGGATTTCTCAGAAAGTTCACTTGAACTCTTGGTCCAAATTACAATCCAGAAGAATCTGTCAGGTTGCCCTTGCAATCTGAGGATGCCCTAGAAACTCTAGAAAAGCTAGTCTATAGAGGCACCGTGCCATGCATCAACCTTTGTTTTCCTTCTGTTTCCATAGAAATGCTTTATTAGAGAGCTGGTTGCCTGCATCACACGTAAAGGCAAAGCCCATCTGCAATGCCACCTCTTGGAATGAGACACAATTGTTTAACTGAACTGATATATTTTCATGACTAACAGACTAAAGAAGATTTAAACAATATGTTTAAATTTGTTCTTTTCTGTATATACCAATTTATCTTTCTACTTTTTTGGCTATCTCTAACTAACGACCCTTAACACAAATTCTACCAAAGCAATCAGCTTGGCTTTTAATGTGTAAAAATTGTTTTAAGTTTCAAAGTAGGTACCAAAAGACATAAATATATTTTATCCAAAAATATATTTATTTCACATATTATAAAATGCCTGCTGCAGTGCCAGCAAACAGAAGTGGCCTTGCAAAGGTATCTTTTTTGGGGAAAAATTTTGCCTCTGTAGAGAATTTCCATTAATATACCCAGGACTTTTCAGTTTTTTTCCTTTCTTTCTTTTTTCTTTCTTTCTTTTTTTGTTTTTGAGACCGAGTGTCACTCTGTCACCAGGCTGGAGTGCAGTGGCACAATCTCGACTCACTGCAACCTCTGCCTCCTGGGTTCAAGCGATTCTCTGGCCTCAGCCTCGCTAGTAGCTGGGACTACAGGCACAAGCCACCACGCCCAGCTAATTTTTGTTTTTTTTTTTGTTTTTTTTGTTTTTTTTTAGCAGAGACGGGGTTTCACCATGTTGGCCAGGATGGTCTTGATCTCTTGACCTCATGATCAAAGTGCTAGGCCTTGGCCTCCCAAAGTGCTAGGATTACAGGCATGAGCCACCACGCTCAGCTTACTAAGGCCTTTTGTATGCCTTTCCTAGAACTAAGAGAGATTGAGAGGCTGACACCTTTAAAAGTCTAAAAGGAAACATTTACCATCTATTTTCTCTGAGGGAAGCTTCATTTACCTAACAAGACCACCCTTGCCAGTCAAGCCTCTTCCTTTCTCTCTCTTATAACCTGCCTTACAACTAAAACCTGTTGTGGGGCATGCTCTGAGTCCACATTATTTCTATCAACTAAGATGATATTAATATAAAAGCTTCTGTATCTTATTGTTAGCTTGGGTCTTTATTCTGAAGGCTCTCACGTGTACACATTAAATAAATTTGTACATCTTTTCTCCTATCAATCAATCTGCCTCATGTCAGTGATTTTTCAGTGCCCCTTTAGGAGGACAACCCCCTTTAGTAGGTAGGGGGAAAAGATCAGGGGAGCTGTGTTGTTCAGGGCGCTCACCTTGCCTGTCAGGAATGAAAAGGAAAGCAATAACAGACAAACAGAGAGCCAAATCATGAGTGAACTCCCATTCACAATTGCTTCAAAGAGAATAAAATAGGATAGGATAGGAATCCAACTTACAAGGGATGTGAAGGACCTCTTCAAGGAGAACTACAAACCACTGCTCAACAAAATAAAACAGAACACAAACAAATGGAAGAATGTTCTATGCTCATGGATAGGAAGAATTAATATCGTGAAAATGGCCATACTGCCCAAGATAATTTATAGATTCAATGCCATCCCCATCAAGCTACCAATGACTTTCTTCACAGAATTGGAAAAAACTACTTTAAAGTTCATATGGAACCAAAAAAGAGTCCACATTGCCAAGACAATCCTAAGCCAAAAGAACAAAGCTGGAGGCATCACACTACCTGACTTCAAACTATACTACAAGGCTACAGTAACCAAAACAGCACGGTACTGGTACCAAAACAGAGATATAGACCAATGCAACAGAACAGAGTCTGCAGAAATAATACCACACATCTACAACCATCTGATCTTTGAAAAACCTGACAAAAACAAGAAATGAGGAAAGAATTCCCTATTTAATAAATGGTGCTGGGAAAACTGGCTAGCCATATGTAGACAGCTGAAACTGGATCCCTCCCTTACACCTTACAAAAATTAATTCAAGATGGATTAAACACTTATATGTTAGACCTAAAACCATAAAAACTCTAGAAGAAAACCTAGGCAGTACCATTCAGGACATAGGCATAGGCAAGGACTTCATGACTAAAACACCAAAAGCAATGACAACAAAAGCCAGAATTGACAAATGGGATCTAATTAAACTAAAGAGCTTTTGCACAGCAAAAGAAACTACCATCAGAGTGAACAGGCAACCTACAGAATGGGAGAAAATTTTTACAATCCACCCATCTGACAAAGGGCTAATATCCAGAATCTACAAAGAACTTAAACAAGAAAAAATCAACCCCATCAAGAAGTGGGCAAAGGATATGAACAGACAATTCTCAAAAGAAGACATTTATGCAGCCAACAGACACATGAAACAATACTCATCATCACTGGCCATCAGAGAAATGCAAATCAAAACCACAATGAGATACCATCTCACACCAGTTAGAATGGCGATCATTAAAAAGTCAGGAAACAACAGGTGCTGGAGAGGATGTGGAGAAATAGGAACACTTTTACACTGCTGGTGGGACTTTAAACTAATTCAACCATTGCGGAAGACAGTGTGGCGATTCCTCAAGGATCTAGAACTAGAAATACCATTTGACCCAACCATCCCATTACTGGGTATATACCCAAAGGACTGTAAATCATGCTGCTATAAAGACACATTCACACGTATGTTTATTGTGGCACTATTTGCAATAGCAAAGACTTGGAACCAACCCAAATGTCCATCAATGATAGACTGGATTAAGAAAATGTGGCACATATACACCATGGAATACTACGCAGCTATAAAAAAGGATGAGTTCATGTCCTTTGTAGGGACATGGATGAAGCTGGAAACCATCATTCTCAGCAAACTATCGCAAGGACAGAAAACCAAACACCGCATGTTCTCACTCATAGGTGGGACTTGAACAATGAGAACACTTGGACACAGGGTGGGGAACATCAAACACTGGAGCCTGTCGTGAGGTGGGGGTAAGGGGGAGGGATAGCATTAGGAGATATACCTAATGTAAATGACGAGGTAACAGGTGCGGCACACCAACATGGCACATGTATACATATGTAACTAACCTGCACGTTGTGCACATGTACCCTAGAACTTAAAGTATAATAATAATAATAATAATAATAATAATAATAAAGAAAACAAATACCATATGGGGGAAAAAAAAAAAAGAAAAGGAAAGCAGGTTCACTTTAATCTCAGACTGCAATACTCTGCTGCTCCTTTGGCTAACCAATGTAAGTCAGAATGAGAGGGAAACAAAAAGCAGGGAGATAAAAAGAATTAATGTGCTTCAAAGTGTTAGAGGGTTAGATAATGAAAAGAACATTATAGGGCCTTATACTTTACAGTACCTGGTTTGCTGAAAAAATGTGTATCTGAAAGTATAGATACCGATATGCATGACTGTCTGTTAGATGAGTTATTTGGCAGAAACTATCCATTGTAATACTGGAAAATATCTGCACAATTATGAATGCCAGTCTTAGGATATTACTTATACTTTAAATTTTAATGTCAACTCAAGTTAAAGTTTTGTTTAAACTTTTGTTTCTGAGCTTTGGTATTCCATGACTTCTTGCACAATTACCTTTATAATTATGTTTTTAAAACATGGAATGTCAACCTGTTAGATTCCAGTTGATTTCATTTTGCTAGCTTTGATGTGTCATTTCAGCCTTTTGATTCTGAGCATTGATTCTAGAATTCACCATAATTGCTTGCTCTTCCAGATTTAAATTGTTCATAAGTTATATTTGTAAAAAATCCTCTCTACATCAATTGACGTTATTGACGGAAAGTAGGAAGGCACTTGAGCAGAATTCTGTGAGTGATCTCAGGTTCTTTCCCTCCAAGTTGACCTAAAATTTTAATCAGCATTTAGACTGTGATTGTCCACCTGGGTAAACATGAACTTAACTCTTTTAAAGCCATTACTTCTCTTCTTTATTCCCCAAACATTTCAGACAACATTAAAGCATGTATTGATAAAATAAAAATGCATTCTCTATTAATATTTGCATTTTGGTGAATGGATTAATACAACAATCTGTCAACTGAGAATCTGGGTTTGGTTTGACATTTCATGGTTTTAAGGACTTCAAGCAGGAGTTTCGTGGTTACTAAATGCTTTATCTTAAGTGTACAAACACTGTTCACTTTAGTAATTCATCATAGATTTTTGCTAGCTATGTAGTAGGCATAAAACGAACACTGGTCAAGTGAATGAATGCCTATGTCATTTTTAATACTCTTTAATATTTTATATTCAACTGCTAAGGCTCTTTTCCAATTTTTCGTTTTACAAGTAATAATTTATTTTATTCAATAATCAGATCCATACATTTTTCCAGTACAATCCAGTCTGAGCCATTCTTATGGTCTAGGCATACCTGAATATATTTTTGTATTGTTATTTGCCCTAACTATAATTGTATAGAAGAATATTTTACAAACTTGAGCATGGAAATTCCTGCCTTTAGTTCATGGAGTTCATTCTTTAATTCATTCATTTGTTCAACAAACATATATGGAGTTGCTGAAATTCATTCCCCACCCCAAACAAAAAGAATTGTGTTTGGGAGAAAAAGCTCAATTACAAATCAAATTCTGCTACTAAAAGCATTTGCCTTTGCATCTTTTGATGTGGGACTGACATTTAAAAACACCCTTTGTTTCCTGTGTGTGCAACACATGATTCCATGTGGCATGCCCCAGGTATGCAGCTATGTGCGACTCTTGCTGTATTTGAGCTTCACCTGCTTTGGAAGATCAATGTCTGTTTCTTAGGAAGGTTCCACAGGTATCCTCTTCATGATGGTAGGGTAAGCCAACTCCATCATATATTGAAGCCGTTATGAAGCCTCTGTATTACAAATTTTATTAAATAAATATTGGTTAATGAATAGACTGAATGATTTTTGAAACTGAGAGAAACACTAAAAGGAAAGATATGCTATATGAATAAATGAAAATATGCTTTTCCAAGTCATTAATGAAAAGATTAACTTTTAAATACATGGCATATGAGGAACTAGATCACCAAACATAAAAGTTTTAAAAAGCCTGTAAATATTTCTTACACACAGATACCACAACAAATACCCAATGGGTAAGAGATGCAAATAAGCAGAAATTATTCAAGTATTAAAGAGAACAGTTTATTTTCTTTATACACCTACCTAGAGATGATATATTCCTTTTCCAAAAGCATTATGGAAAAGGTCAATAGATTTTTTACATAAGTTTTTAAAAAGTATAATAGTTTACATGCCAAAAATACCTAAGCAAAATATGACCAACTACAATAAATATTTGTGTTTTGGATCTTAGAGTAATAATTGTAATAATTGTTACTTGGATCTTAGATTAATTGTAAATTATATCTCAGATACTGTAAATTCTATCACTGATAAAAACTTAGTATGCCTAATATTTAAAGCTTCAAAGAATGTTGAAGAATAAAACTAGCAAGCTGAAAGAAAAATGGACACAACATGTGATCAAACACTTTATGGAAAGACATTAAAATGTCTTCAAATATGTCACAAGTGGCAGGATTTCATTCTTTTCTATGGCTGAATAATTTTCCATTGTATATACATAGACTACATTTTGTTTAGCTATTCATCCATCAGTGGACACTAATCTTGTTTCTATATCTTGGCTATTATTAACAATGCTGCAATAAATATGAGATTGCAAAGAACATGGGGGTGCACGAAGTGTATCTTCAAGATACCGATTTTATTTTGACAACATTGATGAACTGGAGGATATTACGTTAAATGAAATAAGCCTGACACAAAAAGACAAATACTGTATAATCTCACTTACATGTGGAATCTTAAAAGTTCAAATTCATAGAAGCAGAGAGTAGAATGGTGTTTACCAGAGGCTAAGGAGTAGGAAAAAGGACAATGTTCACTTTGGGAGGCCGAGGCGGGCGGATCATGAGGTCAGGAGATCGAGACCACCCTGGCTAACGTGGTGAAACCCAGTCTCTACTAAACATACAAAAAAATTAGCTGGGCGTGGTCGCGGGAGCCTGTTGTCCCAGCTACTCGGGAAGCTGAGGCAGGAGAATGGCGTGAACCCGGGAGGCGGAGCTTGCAGTGAGCCAAGATCGTGCCACTGGACTCCAGCCTGAGCGACTTAGTGAGAATCCGTCTCAAAAGAAAAAAAAAAAAAAAAAAAAAGAAAGAGAAAAAAAAGAAAAGAAAAAAGGACAATGTTGGTCAAAGGTTATAAACTTTCAGTTATAAAACAAGTCCTGGAGGTCTAATGTGCAGCATGGCTGCTAGTGAATGTGTGAATTTGATTGTGCTAATCACTGCACATTACATATGTATATCAAATCATCACATATATACTTAGAATACATGCAGTTTTAATTTGTCAGTCAAAAATTTTAAAATAAAAAATGAAAAAAGTTTTAAACATATGAAAAGATACTCAAGTTCCTTATGAGAACAGTGCAATGAAAACTCAAGTAAGAATATAATGCTACTATGATTAGTGGGAATATAAACTTAAAAAAAGTTGTGTAGTTTTTGCATAAATAATAGGATTGGCAAACAAGTAAAATGGAAAAAAAACAAAAACAAAAACAAAACAAAAAGCATCACACTGAGAAGTATTTTATTCCCAGAAGAAAACAGCCAAAATCCTGTCTTGGGAAAGAAGGTGAGCCTGTGGGAAAACAGGCATTTTCTTCCATTACTGTTGGGAATGAAATACAGAAGAAACATCATAGAGAGTGTAATAAGGCATTTTTTCAACAAAATTGTACATGCATTTGCTTTTTGACCCAGTAATCCTACATCTCAGAATCTTTTCCAAAGTATGTAGCCAAATATGAGAGAATGTATGACAATGGTATTTTATCATACATTCTAAGTTTTTCTAAGAACATTTGCTGTCATATTTTCTCAGTTTTTTGATATTATCATTATTATTATCGAGATAGAGTCTCGCTCTGTTGCCCAGGCTGGAGTGCAATGGCACGATCTCAGCTCATTGCAACCTCCACCTCCTGAGTTCAAACAATTCTCCTGCCTCAGCCCCTCCTAGTAGTTGGGATTACAGGCATGCAATACCATACTCCACTAATTTTTGTATTTTTTTTAGTAGAGACGGGGTTTCGCCATGTTGATCAGGCTGGTCTTGAACTCCTGACCTCAGGTGATCCACCTGCCTCGGCCTCCCAAAGTGCTGGGATTACAGGCGTGAGCCACCACACCTGGCCTTTGATATTATTTTTAAGAACAAATGACTAGAAACACCTCCAAATACATATCAAAAAGGACAAGTTACATAAACTATATTATATCCTCACATTGGATTATTATGTGATTGTAAGAAAGCTTAAAGGTATCTTTATACATTGCTATGGCAATTTCCAGGATATACGTTAAATAGAAAATAAGCAAAAAAACCAGTGTAGAACTATGTATAGGGTGCTGCCTTTTGTGTGAGGAAGTGGCGACGTGGATAGATAGATAGATGTCCACATATGTATTTGCTTATGTTAAAAAAAATCACTAAACTAGAAATATAAACTAAAAATGAATTAAAGGGCTTACTGCTTGAGGAGAAAATGGAAATGGTAGGGAAGATACCAATGGATTATAGAAAAGCTCACATAACTGTGGACAAGCTACTTGACTGTATGGTATCTTTGTTTCTTTGAGGAAAAAGGAAAAAAGAAAGGAAGGAAGGGAAAGAGGAGGAAGAAAACTTGATAAAACTTATTTACCTTTTTTATTCAATGTGAGGCTAATTGACATCACATTTAAGAAACTGCAGTGTTTTGCACATGAAAAGTACTGCAATTAGCAACAACAAATAGTAACCTTGATAAATTGACTAAATAAAACCTACTTTTATGTATTTATTTATTTTTTAGTACTGCATGGGTTTTATTCTATTATATGTCTTCAACATGCCATTATCTGGATTACCCATGCCTGCAACTGAAATTATGTCTGAGTTAATCATTGTAATTTGTTAATATTAAGACCTTTGGAATTTCAGTTAATAGAAATCCTAAACTGATTAATTTACTTCTTAGCTCACATCTACTTTTGGGACTCAGAAAATATCCCTGAATGAATTTGACAAGCAATATTTTGCCCTCATAGCCTGAAAATCAGTATTATTTCTTAACTACCAATTTCTGTCACATACAGGCCCACATAATAGTTACCCTGTAATAAGGTTATTGCTACTATAACTTCGCCAGCATATGTATTTTTGGTATAATTATGGCCAATGGGACACAATAAAAATTAATGGGTATGTGTTTTTAAGGCTGACAACTGTTCATCAGATCCCATAGTGTAAATTGCAAAATATCTTATTTCCTTAAACAAAGCATCTTTCAACTGGCAGACAAAGGCATGAGAGGACAGAGATTGTGAAGGATCATGCAACCAGTATTTAACCACCTGGAACCCAAAATGACACCCATCACTTTTGTTTATGTACCATTAGTAAGAACCATTCTCATGGCTCCACTAGATGCCATGGCTCAGAATTGTAATCCCTCGCCTGGACAGCTGCTGCTCAGCAACAACTCTAGACCATGGAAAGGAGGCATGATTGATTTGTTGGTCACCACACAGCATCAAATGCAGCTTTCTAAGCAGGCAGCAAACACAAGCACATAATATTGCATTGGAAGGACAAGCAAGAAGAAAAGCATAGCTCTAGAGAAAGGGTCATCAAACTTTTTCTGTGAAGAGACAGACAGTAAATATTTTAGCTTTCGCAGGCCATGTATGGTCTTTGCTACATTCTTCTTTCTTTCTTCCTCCATTTTTCCCTTCTTCCCAACTTCCTTTCCTCCTCTTTCCTTTCTCCCTCTGTGTTTCTCTCCTTCTTGTCCATAATCCATCCCTCCCTTCTTTATTTTATTGCTTGCAGATTGTGCAAAAACAAGCCAAAGTCTGGATTTAGCCAATGACCACTACGTTTGCTCACCTCTGCTGTAGATAATGGTTTTATTTTCAGAAGTATCTCTACTTATGACAAGTGATAATGGCTTTCCATTTATAAGAGTGATGAAAAATGTATCTTAAAACTTAAATAAAATGGAGTAAATTAAGTTAGAAAAAGAAGTTAAACAATACTTCAAGAAGGACCCTGATATGGTAAAAATGGTCAACATGATACAGAATTGCAGCAGTTTGGGAAACATGGTCTTAGGAAACTTAGTAGATATGGGGATGGCGGGCGTTGTTTGCTAGAGCAGAATTCAGTTATTCAACATGTTTGCCAGAACCTTCACCTCAAGATTAATAGCAAACAGAACAGCAAAGATCAATTTTAACTACTTTCCACTTTTTGCCTAGGGAAATCCTCCTCAGAGGCAAAAAGCATCTTCTAATGCTCATCACTCCACATTTCACTACCCTCATCCTTTGCTGTACAGTTCAGACTGTGACCAGATCAGATACCAGCATGCTTATCCTCATAGAGTAGAACTACATGAAATGTGAATATTAAAGATGGCCACAAATTTGGTGATGTTTTTCTCCCTGAGAGGTTGTGTCTATACCTCTTTCCTTCTTTCCTCTGAATCTGAACAGGCATGTGACTATTTGATCAGTAGAATATAGTGGAAGTGGTGTTACTAATTTTGCTACACTACCTGTTTCCTGTCTCTTGGAAAACGCTCTATGGGAGCCCTGAGATACCATGTAAGAAATCCAACCACTTTGAAATCATCATATCACAAAGGCCACATGTGTCATTTGGTCAACAGTCCCCGGTGAACCCAGGCTCCCAGCCATCTCATCCAGGCACCATCTACTCGAGGGTCCTATCCTTTCCAAGGCACCAAGAGGCCTTCTTGGGCTTTCCAGACCAGCACGTTTGCAACTGAACACTATCAAGCAATCTCCGTTAATATCCAGTGGAAGACAATAATCTCCTTATTCAAATTTCTAACCCAAGAAAACTATGATATAGAATGCAATCCTGTGGTTTTATGCTACTAACCTTAGACATAGATTTGTTGTGCAACAGTAAATAACTGGAATAGAACCAAAGAATTCTGAGTGCAAATAATTCTAAAAGAGCCGTCAAGGAACTTGTTTCCTAGTAGCCCTGACAACTATGAAGTCTAACAGAAAGGCAACTTTGAAATGTGACCTGGAACATATAAAACCCAATGCAAATATTCAGTGCACTATTTTCTCTTTGTTTGTTGGATTTAAATTCCTCTTCTTGAGATCCATTACAAAGGCTTTCTTATTCATCAAAACGGAGATTAAAATACGCAATCATCTCACAAAGTTGCAAGATGATAAGATAATTTAATTATAGGGAAGAGAGAATTAGAAAGAGAAAGCTGATGTCAACTAAGTTCCTAGTAGATGCCAGATATTTCTCCTGCCCCACTGCAATGTGGTGACAAAAGCACAGACTTGCATTCAAGAGAATAAGTGATATTAACTGTGAGATGTTAGATAAGCCATTAACAACCCCGAGACATTTTTTTGGAATGTGGTAATTAAGGAGATTATTACTTATACTAACATCACTGGGTTATTAATAATAAAAGTTACATACGGCTGTTGCTCTTAAGAGATGTGATGAAGTTAAAAACTGCTTGGAAATATAAAACATAACTGATGGCTACTGACAATGACAACAAATCTATTATTTTACGGAACTGAATACCTCTGTTAGAGTAGGTATCTAGGCATACATGAGCAGGGCAAGAGAGCATCACTCCCAGAAATGTCAGGTGACCATTAGCAGACGGTTGGGCAGATGTCAAACTTGCTCTAAAATAATAATTGGTTGCAGCTGGTGCCAGGGAAAGGCAGTCTCCCAATAGATGGGAAACACCTGAAGCTGGTGATGAGCAGCTTCCTGATGAGATCGCAGGAGCTGGGTAAGTGGAGCTCAAGCATGTGCAGTAACAGGCAAAATGGCAGAGTTTAACTGGTTTATGACCTTCTTCTTGCAGCACTCGACTGGTAAGGGAAAAATGCCAAGTGATCATGGGCACAACTTCAGTAAACACACTGAGCATGCAGCACCTCCGACACGCTGGCAGGCCACTGTGCGTGCGGACAGCCTGCCACAAGGAAAAATCAGGGGAGAAGAAACCCAAACCTTGGAACATACCAATATATTAAAGACCCAAGTCAAGGGTCAGATGGGGCACTTGGATCTCGCAAGGCACCCGCTTGCCCCTCTTCCAAGTGTACTTTATTTACTTCCTTTTGCTCCTGCTCTAAAACTTTTTAATAAACTTACACTCCTGCTCTAAAACTTGCCTCAGTCTCTCACTCTGCCTTCTGTCCCTCAGCCAAATTCTTTCCTCAAAGAAGGCAAGAATAGAGTTGCTACAGACCCAGACCCATATGGAGTTGCCACTGGTAACGCCTCTAGATGCATATTTCATATATAAGTATTTGTAATTTGTGGTGAACACAATGATGGGACTTACAGGGAAGATGCTTGTTCCTTAAATTCCATCTCTGCTTGGTCACTCAGGAAGTCAGGTTTGGGGACTATAAGATTCAGGCTCAATTTATTGTTAAATGTCTGTCCCCAAATGACCAGGGGGTCTTCTTGCTCAACTTCCTAAAACCCTTTGGTACTGCTGAGTAAAATTAATGAAGTAATACAGGAATTTGCAGATACCACTGAGACTACTGTTCTTACCATACCTATAATTTTATAGGGCCAGCATTGGTTTATTTATTTAGAAGAGTTATTTTGTATAACAGAGTATAGTAGCATGAGCGGCTGAGCAAGAAAATTGTTGGTGAAAAATCAGGTCAGAGATTGGGAACCTTGGCCCTAGTTCTGATACAACCACATTTTTGCTGTATGACCTCGAGAAAATCACTAACCCAAAAGGGCTTCCAATTCCTCATCCACACAAAGGTGATAATGAACCTGGATTTACTGTCCCATTATGAAGTAAAATGAAACAATGTATGTAAAAATACTAGGAAAATAGCAAGTATATTTGCAAATGGGAGGTGTGTCTCTAGTACTACTACTAAGAGCACTTATTCTTATGAAATCAAATTCTTTTCCATAGTTAAGCTGGGCACAAGTGACAACAAAAATCAGAGCCATTAAGTGTGTGCATCAGCTTCTCCACCAAGAGCATAGAAGCTCTAGAATGTAAAACTCTAAAAGACGAAACTCAATTATGTTCCTCAGGTTTCTCCCAGCTGACTAGACGTACGGAGAATTTAGGCCCTACAGGCAATTTCCTGATACCATATTTGCTTTGACACTTTCCCGAAACTTGTCTTTGGCTAAGTGATCTAACCTCTCTAGGCCTCATTTTCCGTACCTTAACAATGGGTGTTTATTCAACAAATATTTAAAGGAGGCCTCAGTATGGCTGACACACTTCTCTGGGTTGCTAAACAGGAATACACCCAATAGAAAAATATCTTGGCCTCTTGAAACTAATGTTTAAGGGAAAAAAAATGTAATTGACATATGTAAGATGGGAATGAGGCAACAATGAAGGGGGAAAGAAAATATTAGGGAAGTGTTGAAATTTTAAATGATATGGAAAAGGAAGGATTCACTAAAGTGTTGATATTTGAGTGAATCATTGAAGAAAATGCAAGAATTCATTTATTAATATCATGATTAATAATATTCCAGTAGATAGAACAGCAGATGCAAAGGCCATGAGACCGAAATGTGCCTGGAATGTTCATAGATCCACAGGGAAGCCAGCGTGCCTGCAGGAGCACATGTGAAGAGGAAGATAGGAAGAATTACTGTCACAGAGACAGAGAGGATTATTATAATATTATAATATTGGGTGGATTAATAAGATAATGCAAAAAGCCTTTTGCCCATAACAAGTGCTCAATAAAAACAGTTATGATAATAATGTTGATTATAATGATCAATTGGAAATTAAATGATATGATGAAATAACTGATTCCAGATAAATAATTTCAGTAATAGCATTTCTAAAGCTGCTAAAATGATTGTGACAAGTGGATATATTACACTCTAACCAACTTTTTCATTTATTATTTTTATTTGCTGGGACAAAGTACCAATACTTCCCCCATAAGAAAATGCTAATGGCACTAATGGTTAAAAAATTGTGTACATACTGTGGAATACTATGCAACCATAAAAAGGAACAAGACCATATCCTTTGCAGGGGCATGGGTAGAGCTAGCAAACTAAGGCAGAAACAGAAAACCAAACACCACATGGTCTCACTTATAAGTGGGAGCTGAACAATGAGAAAACATGGACACAGGGAGGGAACAACACACACTGGGGCCTGCCAGGGGGTGGAGTGGGGGAGGGAGAGCATTAGGAAAAATAGTTAATGCATGCTGGGCTTAATACCTAGGTGATGAGTTCATAGGTGCAGCGAAACACTATGGCACACATTTACCTATGTAATGAACCTGCACTTCCTGTACATACATACACTGAAGCTTAAAACAAAAATTAAAATTAATTTTTAAAAAATGTGTATACGTTATGTGGACAGAGAGAAACTGAGAGAGAGAGAATTTGCAACTGTTGGACCTAATGAGGTAAAATGTTAATGGTCAGTGATTCTGAGTGAAATGTATATGAAGGTCTTTTATACTACTCTTATTCTTTAAATATTATCTGTCAATTTGAAATTGTTTCCAAATAAATACTGGTTTAAAAGAAAAAGTAAAAAACATAGGAGCAAATTCTTAAGTTCTGCACTGGATGGAGCCCAGGGTGTACTCAGAAGCAGTTTGAGCATTTGGAAACACAGAAACATTGCTTTCCTTCTGCTACATCATTTGGTTCCACCATTAGGCCACAGAGAGACCCAATTGGGTTAATCAAGACTCATTTAGGATTTTGTTTTTCACACTTATTTTGTAATGCTTTAAAAAACTTGTCTGTCTACCAGAGTCCTTGGCACGAAGTAGGTTTTCAATAAATGAGACAGGTATCCATAATTGACAGGAATGATTTGCTTTGTAGGGGCAGTTGTCACATCTGTGTGCGTATTCCTTACTGTGGTGTTTCTCAAAGTGTGCTGGTGGAGGATACGCATCAAAGTAAGGTGACCAAGAGCACGGACTCTGGAACAAAACTGCCTGGACTCATGCCCCAGCTCTGCCACTTGCTAGACTGCCCTTGGATAAGCAACTCTGTCTCCATTGCTCTCCTGTAAAAAATGGGAAAAAAAATGTAAAAATTGTGTGACTTGAAATAAGTTAACATTTATAAAATGCTTATAACAGTGTCTGACATATAATAAACACTATGTGAGTGTTGGTTAGAAAAATTAAAATCACTTGGGGTGAGGAAGCGGGCTTGATATTGTGTAGGTTTCCAGATCCCACTCAGGACTGAATGAGTTAGAATTCCTTGAGCCTGTGGCATTTTAACAAGCTCTCCAGATAATTCTTAAAGCCATTCAAGTTTGAAAGCCACTGCTTTAGTTATTAGCAGCCTTGATGAACTGATTCCATAGGGACAAGTAATATAGTAAAATCCAACTTTACTCTGTATGTCAGTGCCTTAGGTCTGCAAAATCCCCAAATCCTTTAGGGAGATTTCTCTCCAAATCAAATTAAATGGACCAATAAAACATGCTTCTGTAATGATTAGCATCTCAAATCATGGTTCTGAGTATGCAAATTTCCTTGACTTGTTTTATCCAGGTGGCTTCTCTTTCTTGATCAGTTTCCCCAGGATAAATGTTACTCACTGTCCATGTCTTCGCTTGTCTGAGGACTGAATGCAAATGGGGCTACTGAAACTTATCCCTAATATTCAGTACAGTTTCTGTGCCTGGTAGGAGAGAAGCCATAATAGAAGAAAGCAGCTTAAATGGTTTTCTGGAAAATATCAATTAGGCATGAAAATTTTAGCAGTTGGAGGGGTGGGGGGTTGTGTGTGTGTATGTGTACACGTGTACGTTTGTGTGTTTTCCCAGAAGGAAATTTAGAGTTACTACAGAAAGTTACTATTTTTCATATGTATTTTGTCATTGGAGTCAACTTCTACATTTCAAATGGATTCCCTTATGGTGCACAAAAAATGAGATTATACTGTGAAGAGAGTATTTCATGTCAAAGGTGATAAAGCCCACAGAGGCCAAGGCACTGGTTTCAGTGGCCATTTGAGCAAAGGAGAGACAGTGGAGCAAGGCTGCCAGCTTGCTTTTGTTTCTGAGAAGTGGTGACTTTGTGATTATAAAGCCTCAAAGGAACGTGAAATAGGTATTCAGTTTTTTAATAGATAAAGTTATGACTGTCATAATGCAAAAATATTATTTTAACCACTGAACTGGAATTAATAATTGTAATAATGTTATGAGCTGAATTGTGTCCCCCTAGAATTATGTATGCTGAAGTCCTAACAGCCAGTTTTTCAGAATGTGACTGCATTTAGATACAGGGTCTTTAAAGAGAAAAGTAAGTTAAAATGAAATCATTAGGGTGAGCCCTAATCTAATGTGACTGGAGTTCTCATATGAGAAATATTGGACACATACCTGCAAAAAGGGAACACCATGTGAGCATATAAGGAGAAAATGGCCATCTACAAGCCCGAGAGAAAGGCCTCAAAAGACACCAATCCTGTGGGCACCTTGAAAAGACACCAACCCTGTGGGCACCTTGACCTTAAACTTCCAGCTTCCAGAACCACAGGAAATAAGCTTTTGCTGTTTAAGCCACCCAATCGACAGTACTTTATTATAGAAGCCCTAGAAAATTAATGCAATAATAACTACAAGAATACTAACATTTTATAATACTTCAAATTTTACTGAAGATTTATCTCATCGCATTAAAAATCATACAAAAATCCATAAGTGCTTACTCTGAGAGAGGCTCCATTAATATCATCAGTGCCATCGACAAATGAAAAAACTAAAACCCAGAGAGGTTAGGTAATTGGCATGAAGTCCCCTTATTAGCAAACACGGAAGGCAGAAATTCCACCCATGCCTTCTTGCTAAGAGGATCACACTCATTTTATCGCCATACATGGCTTTCCACAGAAACTAGACTCTACGGAACCCTAGGCAGGAAGAGATATTAGACGCAGCATCTTCCTCTAGACTGACTATCCTTAGGCCTGGGAGTCAGTGAGCAGCTGGAGTACTTTCAGGGACAATTTCTCATAAGTAGAAACCTCCTCAGCCTTGGCCATATTCATTTAGGAACAGAGAGAGAGAGCATTAGGAGCTGCTCTAAAAGCATCTTTATCTGTCATCTCCTTGTTCCTTCAATACTCCCATATTTGGCTGGAAAAGAGAGATTATCTGAGTATTTTTCTTGCCTTTCAGTGGCATTCATTTTGTCCCAGATTGAGAAGAGTTAGAAACCAAAATAATAGTGAATGCTTTCCCTAAATTTATTACAACTCAGGCTGGTCTCTGTTACATCAAAGAAAGATGCATGAGAGATTACTCTGTATTGTCTCATTTTCAGAAATTATGTACTGCCCACTGTTGAGGTGAGGAAGTTATGCTTGTGAGTAAGTGTGGGCCTGGAGTTGGAGGATGGACTTCAATTTTGTGAGTGGCTTTCGGCACATGTGCATTGACCTTGATGTCTCAGGAGGTAATGTAGACATTGTCAACTCTGAAATGCTCATCAATTTGTTCTCTTCTGGAAAGCCTCTCCATCTCAACCGTTTTCAAATCCTCCAATCTGTACATTTAAGTTTGGTTCTCATGCAGTCTCCTTCTTCCCATTTTCCTGACAAATTCAACTGGAGTCCCTACATTTCAATATCATGAAATATTCAACTTAATGATATGCCATTTTCTCTTAAATGAAGCAATTTTCATAAGACTATCTAGCAACTCTGTGCTTAGCGTCTAAAATATTCTTGAGATTAGGAACCTGAGACTCATTTATTTCTGACTTTTCATTAAGACTTTGCTGAAAACTTAGCAGAATTTATTTGCCAATTTATCATGCACTGCTATACACCATTCAACCAATTACCGTCTCAAAATACTGTCTTGTTCCTTTATCATTGTTGAAATTTCCATTTATTTTTATCTTTTCTTGGCAATTAGATTGTGATATTCTTTAAGGCATTCCTGGCCCTATCAAGGATAAGGTGATCAATGTTTTTGATAGCTCATTGTATTGCTTTTCCATGCTGCAGTAACAAATCACCACAAAGTCAGTAGCTTCAAACAATACAAATGTATTATCTTACAGTTTCATAGGTCACAAGTCCAACATGAGTTTCAGAAGAATAAAATAAAGATGACAGTGAGGAGGCCTTCTAGGGGCTCTAAGGAAAAATCCATCTCCTTGTTTATTCAGATTACTGGTAAAATTCAGTTCTTTGCAGGTAGTTGTAGGGCTGAGGTCTATGTTTTGTTGCTGACTGTGACTGAAGGTATTTCCCAGCTTCTAGAGGGTGCTCACGTTCTTGAGCTCATGCGTCACTTCCTCTAGCTTTATTACATCTCTTAGAATGGCTTTTCTTCTTCCTCTTATGCCTTTAAGGGTCCATATGATTACATTAGGCCCACCTGGATAATCCAGTATGCTCTCTCAACTGACTTCCAGCCTCAATTCCCCTTTGCCATAAAAGGTGGCAGACTCACAAGTTCTGGGGGTTGTGGACATTTTGGGGGATCATTATTCTGCCTGCCACAGTCTTTCAACATGGATAATTGCAAGGGTGAGATCCTGAGCTGGTGATGTATGAAATTCTGCTTCGGGCAGTTCTGAACACAAATTGAATTCAGCCAGAGCTAGCACCTCCTGAGAAAGTGGCAAGCTCCTAGCTTCTGTACGTACAAGGAAAAACTACGTTTGATCTTTTAGGAACAAAGACAATAAATGTAAAGGGGCCCCCCTAGGCTGCTCCACTTGACACTAATGATGGTGCCTGTGAAATATCTCCAGAGGAGAACGACTCCTCACACTTGAAATCCTTTTCAAATTCAAACTCTAAAATGGTACCAAACACTCACTTTCTTATGATGATATTTAAAGATATATTTTATCCAATGAATCAAAACTAAATATAGTAAAGTATGAGCAAGTTTATTTATTGATTTCCTCTAAATCTGACTATGAACAGTTTGATGCCTGAGGTGACTCTTATTTCTCTGCACTCGGTACAGCTGCTCAGCCTTTCATGTTGGTATCAATCTTACCTTTCTAAAATAACTGATTGTGTTCTTAAAGCAGGGCAACTGAAGGATTCTTCTAAATGTATGGTCAATCACAGGAAGGTAATGTTGAAGGTGCTGTACAATAAAACTGAAGGGCAAAAGATGATCTTAGCAAAACCAGTTCTCAGGGAAACCATGCAGGAGTCCCACTTATTCTACAGAGCTTTCTTTCTAGGCATCTCTGAGCTGTGTCTGTTTATTCTCATGGACACAGTGATGACCACAAACTGGGTCTGGCACAGCAGGTAAACAAGCCGCCACGGACAACACTGCTGCAGAGAATCATGGATCAAGGGGACAATGTGAGAGGGCCCTGGAGGTCACGTACATCTAAGGAACTGCAATGCCCGAGGTAAATTCATTCCACAAACGTTCATTGGTCACTGGCATATTCCAGGCATTGTTCCAGGTTTTGAATGTACTATAAAAAAGTCCTCACCATTAACAAGCTGACAGCTTAGTGGAAGACCAATTAAGATATTTACTCAACAGACAATGAGATGTGCTCAGTTAGAGGTAGTACAAATTTGGAAGCACAGAGGAGGGTCCAGATAGAGTGTTTAAGAAAGCCTTGTTGCAAAAAGAAATGACCATTTAGTTAAGTGTTGAAGAACAAGAGGGAGGTGCACAAGAATTTAAACATGGGGAAAGCAACTGAATCAGAGGCAGGAAGTGTTGCAGGAGCTAAAGCTGAAGTAGAGAGAACCAAGCCATGGAGAACTTACTACAAGATGATGAGAAACTTGGGATAGACCTTTAATCAGAAAAACAAAAAGTCCTCTTATGTCTCATTAATTACTCAGAATTAAATGTGGGGAATGATAAAGAAACAAGACTGGTAGGAGAAAAACAGTTTCCAAGATTTCATGGTAGTTCAGGGAAGAGATATGACTATACTGAGAGGGTACTATTAAGGAGGAAGAGGGCTAATTAATCCTGAAAATGAGGTGGAAAGACAGGGTCTAGGGTGGAGATGGGGAAAACGGGGAAGTCAGTGAAGTGGAGGGAAGAATGAAGTGACACCGTGGTTCCTGCATTACATGGATGAATGGATGGCAGATGATTGAATTAATTTACAACAACCCAAGAAAATTATGGGAACTCACATGGACTGTGGTTAGAAAGGGCATGGTTTTAGTTAAGCTTCAGTGGTTCAAAGAGTAGAGAACCAGGCCAGCTCAAGTAAAGGGAGGAGTTACCAAAAGATGCATACAGAGCAATAGGAAGATGAGAATAACACTAGAAACCAAGAGTTTAAAAATACTTGGCCAGGCGTGATGACTCACACCTGTCATTCCAGCATTTTGAGAGGTCAAGGCGGGCAGATCAGTTGAGGACAGGAGTTCAAGAACAGCCTGCCAACACGGCCAAACCCCGTCTCTACTAAAAGTACAAAGATCAGCTGGGCATGGTGGCACACACCTCTAATTGCTTAAACCCAGGAGGCGGAGGTTGCAGTGAGCCAAGATTGCGCTACTGCACTCCAGCCTGGGTGACAGAGTGAGACTCTGTCTCAAAAAAAAAAAAAAAAAAAAAAAAGGCCGGGCGCAGTGGCTCACGCCTGTAATCCCAGAACTTTGGGAGGCCGAGGTGGGCGGATCACGAGGTCAGGAGATCGAGACCAACCTGGCTAACACGGTGAAACCCCGCCTCTACTAAAAATACAAAAAATTAGCCGGGCGTGGTGGCGGGCGCCTGTAGTCCCAGCTACTCGGGAGGCTGAGGCAGGAGAATGGCGTGAACCCGGGAGGCGGAACTTGCAGTGAGCCAAGATCCTACAACTGCACTCCAGCCTGGGCGACAGAGCAAGACTCCTTCTCAAAAAAAAAAAAAAAAAAAAAAAATCCCAGGAAGCCTGGGCTTCATGCAGTCTGTATGTCCTGCAGGGCTAGTACTTCAGCAGTAAGAATTTATAGTTCTCCCCTTTACATCTCTGTTCAATAACATGACTATACCATGCTCTGACTGTTCTATTTCCTACTTGATATTAATAGGTTTTCTCAGGCTCTACCTGCATATTATTTCATCATGCTAACATTTTTGCTTCTTTTGAATCCAGCTGACAAATTCTGCTTAAAGAACCATGAGTTTGGAGTTTGTTCCTTTTCAAGACTCTATCTCAGCATTTAGAAACAGCTGAAGCAATAAGCAGTGTATCTTCTGCATGCTGCTATGACAGATGGAAAGCTAGGCTCCTCTCCATCTGCACTCTCTTTTCTGCCACTGCCAACATGAAATTCTGTAGTCATGGCTTACAAAAGTCAGGTATTTCTCATAAGAGTTACTCCAAAGGTTTTTAAAGTTTGGGTTGTTAAAAAAATAATAATGTTACACTTTGCTTTTTCTAATAAAGTGATGGATTCTTTAGAGATGCTTGTCAAATCAACACCCTGACATTAAGGTTAAAGGTCCCTAGAGAAATATCCTCCCCAAACTCTCAGATAATTTCAGAGCTATGAATATGTATGATGACTCTTATCTAGATCAGATGACCTTTATTCTGTCCTATGTACATTTTAAGAATCTCATGCTTGTGCTCTGTTTGTAAGTATATACATAGAGTAGAAACAGATATAAAAAACACATTTGTATGCATATAACATACACATATAGCATATCTGTGTTTACATATGTGCATATATACATGTATGTACATGTACATGTTGTGCAATGTGTGTATACACATTATTTTTCTCCATACTTCACACTATCAGTTTGGCAGGCCATATTTCCAGAGTTTGAAAAACATAACTTTTTCACTGACAATTCTAAACTAAAAAATAGGTGAGTGGAAAGGATGCATCAGAAGAAAAAAAGACGTAAGTTTAGAAAATGAAGCTATTTAAAAGGCACATAATATCTTGCACCTGTATTTTTCCCAGAATATTGATGCAAAAAAAAAAAATGTTTGTGGGTGTTTAAGTTATGGTAAGTCTTTAGCATACCTATAAAAATGCATTTATTGTTAAGTTTTTTTTAATCTTGATAAAATGTAGACATCTCTATGGCAACCCAGGTGTGGTGTTACATGCTTTTGATCTTTGAATATATCAAGCTTTTAAAAAAGTACAATATACAATACTGTAATTAGACAGCTTTGATTTGTTCAGACAATAGCTGGGTAAAATACTTTGTATTTAAATTGAGTGATGTAATTGTTCAATAGAAAAATGGTCCGTAATAATTTAGTTTGGAAAAGTGAAATGGTTTGCTTTATATTCCCTTCAGGACTGCATAATTTTACTTCATAAAACACACACACACACACACACACAAGATATTGGAGGAAAGTATAATAAAAATGCTTCAGGGAATGGACTTGGGGTTTTGAGACTATGGGTGATTTTTGTTCTTTTAATATTTTTCTCCACTTTCATGTTTTCCATAATGGCACATATTTTTTTCTAAAATCAGAAAAAAAAAAAAAGGAACAACAACTCTACAAGTTGTTTTGGAACAAAGGAGAACTTAACTCTCTTAGATAGGTCCTTGTCATTAAGAGAGAACAAAATGACACAGTATCAATGTCCATTTTCAATATGCTTCCATTGCTAACATATTTCTACACATTGCATCTCTGATTAAAGATGTTGGCAACAATTACCCTAAGTGAATTAACGCAGGATCAGAAAACCAAATACTACATGTTCTCATTTATAAGAGGGAGCTAAACATTGGATTCTCAGGGATTTTAAAAATGGCAACAATAGAAACTGGTGACTACTATATGGGGGAGGGAGGGAGGTAAGGTTTGAAAAACTAACTACTAGGTACTATGTTCAGTACCTGGGTGACAGGACCATTCTTACCCCAAACCTCAGCATCATGCAATATACCCAGGTAACAAACCTGCACAGGTACTCCCTGAATCCAAAATAAGAGTTGGAGAAAAAAGATGTTGGCAACAATCAAAGACAAAGAGTGATTGGCTACTTTGATAGTTTTTGCATTGTGTTGACTCATACTTAATATCTCCATAGATCTAATTATTCTGCTTCCTTATCGAGTCCAGTAAGAAAAACTAGACTGAGAATGTACAACATAGGAACTCGTCCTGGCTTCTTCAGACATTAGATGTGTGAGTGCCAAGGCAAGTGACTGCCTCTGCATTTCCACAACCTGATTTACACTGTGGTTAATGCCCACCGACTCCCCTCTCCGTCCTGTGGTGGTGGCAGTCAGTTGTGTGCTAACAAATGCCAGGTGAAATACGTTAATCACTGGAAATAACCCTACAAGGCAGTATGTAAAATACAAGTATACTGAATAACAATTCTGTGTTATTATTATTATATTTATAGTTACATTATTTGTTCATTCAAATTGTCTAGTCTTCCATTATGCAAACACTTAATTTCTGTATTTTGATCCATAACTATATTTAAGAGAGAAGCATTCCTACGTATGTTCTTTTAACAAAATAACTTTATTTTCAACACTTTTTCCCTTTAATTGGCACTTTCCTGTTGGGATGTTAGAATAACAACACCACACAGCATTAACTCAGAACCAATATTTGGCATTCACCTGAAGATGACAGAGCGAGATGGCAGGTGGAGGAGTGAGTTCTTTCAAAGGAAAACCCTACTGATTCCAAACTTCACACAAAACATGTGAGCACAGAATGAGATTCTGGGCGATCTGAAGTGTGGACTATGTGAAAGACTCAACCATATATTTTACCCTTAATGAAGTATACAGAAGGTGTTGGGCACCAGTAAAGAATTACTTTCTTACAAGTGTGCCATTAAAACTGTTAGGGTGATTAAGTTAAATGGGGATTTGGGATTTTCCTGGCTTATTCTATCCTGACTATATTGAGTTCATGAGATTATTTTAAGGCTTTCTGCTTATTTGGGCTCTGCAGATGTAGTCTTAAAACTTCAAGCATTGCTCAGTTTCCATCAACTAAGCCATGATGAATGTCACTTGTGTAAAATAAGCAAACAGCAGGCATGAGAGACAAGAGTTTCCCGGTTGTGTTGATTTCTCTGCAGGAATAAAGACTCCTCAGAAAGCAACTTTTCAACGTCAGAAAAAGTATGTTTCCTAGAATTTTCTTTGACGATCAGCCTTCATCTCTGTGTCACACAGATAACCGTAAGGTAATTTCAATCACAGTAAACTTGATTTAAACAATACTTGATGATATAAAAATTTGTTTTCTGATTATTTTTATCTAATTTTAATAACTAGTACTGGCATGTGTTTTATTTAATTAGCATTTTATTAGTGTTTTATTTCAAATTAGTTTTAGTTCACATTTGTAATAAAATTAATTCTTAACAATAATAAAGGATAATGACCATGTGACAATGTCAGCTAAGCTCCTGGTTTACTCCAGTGACTCATGGTGCCTCCAGTCTGGCAGATGTTATGCAGTATGCACATGGCTGTGGCTGTGAATGCATACTTGTACTAGTTCATGCCTGATATAATTGTGTCAGTTAAATAAAGGTTATCAGGTGAAAATGTACTTCCCCAGTGATCATTTCAGTTTGGATCATATAATTCTCGCATCAAATAGACCAAAAATATCCCTTGATTGCGTAGATACAATCTAAGGATAGTTTAAAATAAACCAGCACACTCTTTTATTAATGAATTCTGTATTAATTCTTGTCCTTCTACCAAGTATAATTAATATCTGATATAACAAATTAAATATAAATTAATTTTCAAGACCAATGACACCACAGAATTGTAATTACTTAATATATGAACTGCAGCCTACTTTTGCCCTTTTTTATTAAAATCAGATAACTTCTTTACCTAATACATTAGCCAACAAACTTTTGTCTTTTTAAAGCTTAGGATGCAGTATTATATGTCTTTGAGTTTTCAAAATCAATGAAATACACTTATCTGATGCAGCATATATATTGCTGGTTTTGAGTTCAAACTCTGAAAGCAGGTTGCCTGGTTTGAAAATTTGGTTGTATCAATTACTTGCTGTATGAATTCAGTTATTTATCTCTCTGTAACGTGGTTTTTCATCTGTGAACTAAGGGGTGGTGAAAATACATATAGCATGCAATTGTTGCAAAGTATCCATGTAAGATATTACTTGTACACATCTCACATTTAGCAAAGAAAGGAACTTTGTTATGGCATGGACAGTAGAAAGACACTAAGGAAGACTATCACATATCCATATAAGAATATTGACACCAAGGAAACAGAAACACAGAATAAGAAAGGATTAAAATGCCACAAAAATAGAAATGAGACTTCTCACTAATTGGCCCAATGTGGCCAATTTATTCTGTTAATGCTGACTCAACATTATTAAAAACTTAAAAAGTGTATTTTAGGTGACAAGGAAACAGGGCTAGCAGAAGGGTAGCAGAATGAGCTGCACTGACTGACAGCTTAGCCTGGGCGAAGCATAAGTGGAGAACATACCCAGATTAACTCCATGGGAATGAGCAGAAACATGAAAGAAAAAAAAATTGAGAGTGATGGGATTTAGAATAACGACCAAGTACGCGATAGAAAAATGAGCAAAAGACAAAATCACCCCCAAAAATAGACAAAAAATGAACTTTAAAAATACAAAAAAAAAAAGATCAACCTCATCGCAATTATAAAAATACAAATTAAAATATACTGAGATATTATTTCTTTCTTTATTTTTTTTAGACGGAGTCTCGCTCTGTCGCCAGGCTGGAGTGCAGTGGCGCAATCTTGGCTCACTGCAAGCTCTGCCTCCCGGATTCAAGCGATTCTCCTGCCTCAGCCTCCTGAGTAGCTGAGACTACAGGTGCACACCAAAACCCCTGGCTAACTTTTGTATTTTTCCTAGACATGGGGTTTCACCACATTGGCCAGGGTGGTCTCAATCTCTTGACCTCGTGATCTGCCCGCCTCAGTCTCCCACAGTGCTGGGATTACAGGCGAGAGCCACTGCTCCCAGTCTTTTTTTTTTTTTTTCTTTTTTTTGAGACGGAGTCTCTCTCTTGTCACCCAGGCTGGAGTGCAGTGGTGCAATCTCGGCTCACTGCAACCTCTGCCTCCAGGGTTCAAGTGGCTGTCCTGCCTCAGCCTCCCAAGTAGCTGGGATTACAGGCTTGCGCCACTATGCCTGGCTAATTTTTTTGTATTTTTTGTACAGACTGGGTTTCACCATGTTGGCCAGGCTTGTCTGGAACTCCTGACCTCAGGTGATCCACCAGCCTTGGCCTCCCAAAGTGCTGGGATTACAGGCGTGAGCCACTGAAATATTTCTTACCTTTCACGTTAACAAAAATTTAAAAGTATGACAACACATTTCAATGGCAAAGTTCAAGGGAAACTAGCACACTCAAACACTGCTATTGTGAATGTAAATTGGTCCAACATTTATAAGGGAGAATTTGACAATATAAATAAAACTATGTATGCATTTACCTTTGACTCGGAAATGAATGTCTCGACATTTTCCTTAATGATCCAACTTCAAAAATATAAACAAGGTTATCCATGAAGGCATTGTTTGTAATCGCTAAAACTTGAAAGCAATTGAAGTGCTTATCCATTAGAGAGGTTGAGTACACTTGCCTATTTCCATAAAATGTAGTCCTACGCAGTTGTAAAAAAAAAAAAAATGAGAAAATCTTTAAGAGGTAATTTGGAGTGATATCCAGACTACAACATTAAGTGAAAAATGCAAAGTGCAAAAGGAATCAAAGGGATGCTAAGGTTTCTGTAACAGAGAAGGAGATACAATATAATGTATTTGCAGATATGTGAGAAAAAGAAACACTGGAAAGATAAACTAAGGAGTCTGGTTATCTGTAAGGAGAGGGTGAGAATTGGAAAGAAGAATAAGAGTTTAAAAATGGATTGAAAAGGTGAGAAGCGGTGACAATTCCTTTATTATACATTTTTGTATCATTTTAAATTTTAGAATTATATATTGATATTTCACATATAAAAACAAATCCCTGGAATCTACAAGCATGGGAGAAAAACCGTGTTTCAAATTAATAGTCAAGATGTGCTGAAAAGAAAAAAAAAAGACACCAAATAGTACTTGAAATCTGTACTTTGACATATACTCTCTGATTAAAGTAAATTTTTAATTGAAATGTAATGAGTCGGTTTGCTTTTCACAATGGCACAATTTAGCAATTTCAAACTACTTACGTCTCTTATAAGGCTGAGGAAATAGTAAATACATTATGGGTAATGGAATCCAGGTTTCTCAATGTTAAAGTAGGAATATAAAAACACAGAAAGGATGATGGCAAAATTAAACCCTGTAATATTAAATGAGAATGGGAATATCCTATGAATTAATGGATTATAATAAAGAGCTAGAGACAGATACTGGAAAGTGTCTTTAAATATATTTTGAAAATGTATGTACACGTCATTACAGTAGCAATGAGCATACCTAAGACCAGCTCCTGATGCCTTAATATAATTCTTTACTAAAAGGAAATACACTGGATAAATACTTCATTCTTGAATTGGAGCAGGATATGTTCAAAATGAGCCTGGAAAAACTTACAGTAACAAAAAATAAGACAATGTTCCTAGAATGATGACTTTTTTTGAAAGACACAGGAGCCAGCTTGAACTGGATCCCACTGGCCAAATCTAGAAAATTGGATCATCAAAACGAATCTTAATAGTAATATGTTATAAGACATAGGATAAAATAAGAATCCACGAGTCTATAGTAACATAAATAAATAAATAAACACATGAATGAATAAATGGGAAAGAATGGAAAATGCTTTGTTACAGTAATTAATTAGCATAGAAAAAAATGAAGAGAAAAACCACCATATAGAAAAAAATCATAAATTTTTTCAGTCAAGAAAACTCAGTGGATGCCAAACATTAGGAAAAAACGTATATAAGATATATTTATATACAGAAAATTATAAATACTTTTAAATGACAAAATCACACTATCCCTAATCAAATGATCTAAGTAACTACTATCATTAATGGAACCCCTAGACATTATGTGGCTCCTGGTTTGTTGCACATTGAAAAACACAATATCACTTCGATAGTATTATTGTCAAAAATACATAACCTTTACCAGGCACAGTGGCTCATGTTTGTAACTACAGCACTTTGGGAGGCCGAGGCGGGCTGATCGCCTGAGGTCAGGAATTCAAGACCAGCCTGGCCAACATGGTGAAACCCCGTCTCTACCAAAAAATACAAAAATTAGCTGAGCTTGGTGGCGCATGCCTATAATCCCAGCTACATGGGAGGCTGAGGCAGGAGAATCACTTGAACCCGGGAGGCGGAGGTTGCAACGAGCCAAGATCATGCTGCTGCAATCCAGCCTGGGTGACAGAGTAAGACTCCATCAAAGAAAAAAAAAAAACAAAAAAAAACAAAAAAAAACAAAACAAACAAAAAAAAAAACCCATAACCTCTACCTAATCACAAGATAATATCAGGCAAACCTAAATGGAGCAGCATCTATAAAATAATTGTCCCGTACTCCTTAAAAATATCAAGTCCACAAAGAAAGATTATGGAAATATTCTAGATGTACAAAGACAAAACAGACATGCCATATAAAAGTACTGTGTGAATCTAGATTAGACTAAGGACCAGGATTTTTTTTTATCCTTGAGGACATTAGAACAATTGGCAAAATATGAATATGACCTCTAGTCTTGGTGATAACATTTTACGTACATTAATTTTCTTTTTTATCAATGTATTATGATTTTTAAGTGAATGCCATTGATAAATAAACAATAAAAGTACTTGGAGCTAAAAGGGCATAATGTGGGCAACTTATTCTCAGTTGGTTCAGAAAAAATAGCTATATATTAATGTATGTAAATGTGTATGTACATAAAACATAGTGAAAGAGAATCTGGGTGAAGGGTTTATAGTATTTCATTAAATAATTTTGCAACTTTCTTATAAACTAAAATTGTTTCAAATTCAACAGTTTCAAAACATATAAAACAAAAATGTAAATTATCTTCAGGGACACCTACATACATATATACACACATACTTACGCACAAAGCTCAGTGTTTGCTAACTTCTGCTTTTTGGAGGTAGGAGAGAATTCTCTGCTTCTGGTATATAACATTTTCATGATTTTGCTCTCCGTGTCACAGGAAATAAGAAGGCCAGTTGGTGCCAGAATATAGAAACTCCAGTAATCACTCACCCTCTCCCAATGAAAACAGGGAAAATGCCTTTAGCATTTGAACATCAAGCATCAAAGGCCACGTCTAAGCCCAGGACCTGCCTCCAGACCTCCAGCTCTTCCCACTCTAACCCAACTGACTAATACTATTGATTCTTCTATCAATAAAAGACAAATGAATACAGAAATGTTATTTAAATTGCCAGTTAAATTTGGCAAAGAGAAAAATGTCAATATTTTTAATGTGGAAAACACTGCTTCAAATTGACATTTTACCATCTGATGTATTTTTTCAAGACTTTCTCTTTTGAGTAAAACAATTGAAAACACTAGGCTGTGTGTGATAAATGTTCAGAGAATTGTTATGACTAAAAATTCATTTGATTTTGAATCATCTCAAAAAGTTTCAAGAATATTAGCTAAATAAATTATGGTACATTTATATCCTGGAATACCACAAGGTCTTTGAAAATGAATGATGTAGTTAGATATATGTGTATTGAAATAGAACTTTCTATCACGTTTCAGTAAGCAGAAAATTCTGGGTACAAATTAACATAAACAACATGGCTCTATTTCCGTGAAAAATAGACTTCCAAATGGAAAATATTCTAGAAGTTTCCTTAAGTTAACACTTGTTAATAGTTTATCTTTAAACAAGTTTTAGTGTCTTACTTTTTTACCTGAGCAAGTAGGATGCAGACAGTCAGGATAAAAATAAAATAAAAATAAAACATTTAAAAACTAAGACCAAAAAAAAAAAAAAAAGACATGATCAAATTTCAGTGAAAAAATAATTAGAGACCTCATTTTATTAAATATATTCCATCTCACATTTTTCCATAATTGGAATATGTTTATTTGAATATCGAGGGCTGGCATATTTTAACAAATACAATTTCCACTCTGTAAAAGTAATTAAAAGAGGCTTCCAGAAGGGGGCACAGAGAGAGAGATTCAAAAAGAGAATGTGGTGGAGAGTGAAATGAATGAATGTAAACCTATTTTTAAATGTTATCAAGGTCCTACAAATGGTTAAGAGCAAACATATATTGCATGTCAATCTTAGGCATTTAGATAAAAATTTGAATACAGATGAATAGCTTCATATTATCATTCTATAATTTCTTAGCTGAATCATTTATAGAGAAAATCTCTCTTCTTCCAGCTCTTGGGCACATCCCCCTTAACCTATATAAGTGTTTGATATTTTGTTATGTTTTCCACATATTTGCTATTTTCTGTCAAAATGGCTTAAGCATCTTGTTACTTTGATTCTGAACTTTATTCTGTCTCAGAAATATTTCCTTACGAAGAGGTAGGAGTATAAAAAGGGATAACATGTATCAAGTGCCCACTGTGTTTCAGATTCCGTGTCTTAATTATCTGAGAGAGATTTAGTGTTGTTTTTACAATGCTACACAAGCAGTAAGTGGTAGAGACAGGATGTGAATCCCTATATTACCTAAAAGCCACTATATTTTCCACATCACTGTTCACAGCTGTAGGGAATCACATCTTCTTTATTTGCCTTTCCATTTTCTCATTTGATTGTAACAGCTCTCTCGAGTGCAGGGGCTTTTGCTCTTTTCGGATCAGAAAATATAAAAACAAAATATCATTTCCTTAAGAGATACACAAAAACAATAAACATGAGACAAGGCTTTAACAGATTTATGTCCTCGGAAGTCTGATATTTACGAGATCTAACAGGAAAATAAAACATACATTTCAAATAAATACATATTGAGGACGACTACCATGAGTCAGGGTTAGGAAAAACATTCAGGATAAAATGATGCACAGCAAATGCTCCCCGCTCTGAAACAATCATAATGTCACAGTGCACTTGGCTATGGTAACTGATTGACACGTTTAAGAGGTGATTGTTTTGTTTTCATACTTTGCCCATGATGTTCATAAAAGGAGACATACATTGTTACTGATACATACCCATGAATTATATTCCAGGAAAGGTAGTTGAAAATTTCACACCTTCGTGTATGAATAACTGTCATATAGAAAGAAAGATAGCCAACTGGCTTCAAACTTTCCTGACCGGGAAGATATTATTACCTAATCTCTGATCACTGAGATTCCCTGTGATCACCCAGTACCAATGAGTTGAAATCAATAGCTATGGAACTTCCTTGGCTATGGAGATCAGAAAGGCTTTTGATAAAGCCAACTTAAACTTATGTAGACAATAGAAGATATAAAATAATCATGCAGAGTAGGAAACTGAAATAGTGTTTTTCAGTAATATAAGTGTACCTTTGGGGAGATTATGTTTTAGATAAAAATAAGCAAATGACTGAATAAAACCCAGATTTGATAGATAAGCATGATTCAAAAAGACAAAGGTAAAATAGTTAAGGTTGTTTGCAAGAAAGTGATTATAATTTTGGACTGGTAATCTATGTTTATTATAATAGGAGGAGATGATAGAGGGTAAAAAGAGATAAAAACAATTGACAAATGTGAGGTTGTTTTAACCATGGATCAGGAGACAGAAAAAATGAGTGTGGAACTTTTGGAATCATGATTGATCTTAGGGGGATGCTGATAAGAGTGATGAAAAAGCATATGGTCTCAACCTTTAAATGATCATCTGAGTTAGGGTGAAGGAAAATATATTGGAGACAAGTAAGACAAGGGATTGAAAGCCTGTGGTTTTAAGGCCACGTGGATTTGGAAGGTGACTAGAATAGAGGCAGAGGTAGAGATGAAGAGAAAGAGCGAGCCAGAATCTACAGCCTTAAATGAATGGCAGAGAATGACAAATGTCAGTGGGTTATAACAATGAAAAGGGGGAAGGATTTGTACAGCCCGATGACTTTGAGCTTCAAACATTCTGGGTTTTTGAAGCAGAAAAGGTGAGATATGACTTTGAAGTAGCAATGAGGAACAAGTAAAGCACCTACTTTATATACTGGCTCTATAACATGTGGGAAATGGAATAAAACATTGTCATCACCTATAAAAGGCTACCAGGGTTGTGTTTTTGACAAACTGTCAGATTTCACAGAAAGGAAGGAGATGAGGCATATATTCAGAAACGACTTCAAAGATATAGGACAGTTTGGGAGATGAAAGGAGAGGAGTTCCAAGAGACACCATGGAAGTGTTCGTTTTGCTTTGGGGCAAGTTGAGAAGCGGCAAAGCGATGCAGAACATTTATTTAAACCCCCAAATATAAGTAAATCTACATATAAACTTGTATTTTTCCAATTTATTTAAAAAAACTTAAAAAGATTAAGAAGAAAATCAATAATACGTCTTTGTCTATTTTCCTTCCATAAGGAAAATTAATAGCCATTGCAACACTGGTTAAATAATTATTCTATATTACTTGAAATACTTTAATGAATTTGTAAGAAAAATCATACAAAATGTATCCCTTCATTTAAATACTTCTCATATATACTATGCACCAGGCCTCTTGTGCTAAAGTACATTTTGAAAATGAGTGGAAAAATACATTTAATTTTGTATGTTTTCCAAATAACTTTCTCATAAAATTTTCCTAATTCTCTCAAAACAGTATGTGAATATGCCTACTTTTTTTGGACGTGATAACACCGCAATGGGTCAGTCTTTCAATCCTTGAGATTCCTTTTTTTTTTTTTTTTTTTTTTTTTTGTGATGGAGTCTTGCTCTGCCACCCAGGCTGGAGTGCAGTGGTGTGATCTCAGTTCACTGCCACCTCCACCTCCTGGGTTCAAGCAATTCTCCTGTCTCAGCCTCCCGAGTAGCTGGGATTACAGGTGCGTGCCACCAAGCCCGGCTAATTTTTTGTTTTGTTTTGTATTTCAGTAGAGACGGGGTTTCACTGTGTTGCCCAGGCTGGTCTCGAACTCCTGAGCTCAGACAATCCACCCGCCTTGGCCTCCCAAAGTGCTGGGATTACAGGCGTGAGCCACTGCACCTGGCCAGTCCTTGAGATTTCAATAGGCAAATTCTATCATCTCAATTTAGGTAATGGGCTAGCTTCCATACGGCTCCCGACTGCAAAAAATAACAGAATACTGAAATTTGATGACCTGCTCTTTCACTTTCACTTGAAAGTGAGTGGTGAAGATAGATGTCTAAATAAATAGAGGCACCCATGTTGTGAGACATCAAGACAAGACCACTGACTCAGAGTCCCTGATGATTCACTTCAAAATACTTTCGTACGGAAGAGTTAATGGTCATAATGACCACAGTAAGATGAGTTTAATATTAAAACACCCATTACTAATTTGTTCTTTGTTTTGAATGCTAACAGTATCACTTTGCTAGCTTGAGCCCTGGAGGTTGTGGCTGTTGTGAGCCATGATAGTGCCACTGCACTCCAGCCTGGGCAAGAGAAGGAGACCCTGTCTCAGAATAAAAAAAAAATTTCTGATCTCAGCAGAAACTACCAAACTACCTAGGTGGGAGGTCGGGGGTGGGGGGAATAGATCACTGTGAGCTTTTCTTTTTAGGTATTCAGTATCCACAAGATAATTTTTGAAGATTGTAAATATACTTCCCCCGTCTCCTCCTTGCCCTTAAATCAGTAGCTTGTCGTATATATATATATATATATATATATATATATATATATATATATTTTTTTTTTTTTTTTTTTTTTTTTTTTTTTTTTGAGAAGGAGTCTTGCTCTGTCGCCCAGGCTGGAGTGCAGTGGCACCACCTCGGCTCACTGCAAGCTCTGCCTCCCGGGTTCACGCCATTCTCCTGCCTCAGCCTCCCGAGTAGCTGGGACTACAGGCACCAGCCACCACACCTGGCTAATTTTTTTGTATTATTAGTAGAGACGGGGTTTCACCGTGTTAGCCAGGATGGTCTCGATCTTTTGACCTCGTGATCCACCCGCCTCAGCCTCCCAAAGTTGTCGTATCTTAAAAAAGTAATGAACACACTGTGGGCTCTTTGACAGCAGTTAGTTCTTTGAACGGCGACCTCAAGTCTTAGAGAGAGAATTTAAAGTCGTTGGTCCCTACTAGTTCACACAGGAGAAAGGACTTTTCTCTGTAGATTCATATGTAAGTACCCACAGTTAGAGTAAAATCAGGATTCTAAAACCATGGAAGCTTGGTAGACAATGTCTAACAGAGTATCTAACATAAGCTTACATTAGAACATTAGAAATTATTTCCTATAAGGTTTTCCACAAAAACATAAAGTTTTAACAAATTATATCTGTCAAATGGCCTGTGCATCCTCCTTATTTGACCTTGTTATTTGTAAGATATACTTCAGAATGCCATCTGGGTACTTTGGCTGTAAAGTTAAAAGGGGTCCTCAATCAGGTTGCACATAATTTGGAAAATAAATGTATGATTCACACAGTTATGAAAACAAAAATACAAACCACAAACTAATAACTTTGATTATTAATAGAAACAAAACTGAAGTCTAATGTTCTATTCTATTATTTTAATATTATTAATATTATCCTAGATTAACTAAGCACCAAGAAAGCAGTCTCTCATTCAAGTTTGTAACATAGAAATCAAACGGTAAAACAATTAAGAATGACTTTAATTAGGTCACTCAAATATATCAAACTAAGAAAGCTACTGTTGTTAAATTATAATTCTGTCATAATTACTATTTTCAGGATACTGACAATTACAGGGATATTGACATTAAAAGCCACTTTAAAAGTGTTCTACTAACTTTAAATTAGTACCTTTTGGAGGATTTCACAATGTTTCTGATAAAGCAATTTGCATTTATACTGAACCTGCCTTTCATATGGCTTTCATATTTTCACTGGAGCACTCATCCCATTTGGGTAACATTTCTGTGAGGCTGAATGACACAAAAATGATAGTGTTCAGTAATGTAGTGAATATTTCAAGAAATAGTATATATAGTCAATCTGGAAAGTATTTGGGGAACAAATTAAATATAAAAATACTTTTTGAAATTCAGATAGAATGATATGCTGTAATGATTTCCTCTTTAGCTCCCAAGATATTTATTTATCATATCTGGGAAATGCCCTACTTGACCTGGAAAGCTTGATCAACTAAACTAGCTCACTGCGGGCAATTCATTTGCATAAGAAAGTACCTGTCATTCACAAATACAATTCCCCCAGTGATTCATTACAATTAAAGTAGATAATGGCACCTACTGTAACAGAGAGATACCAATTGACATGGGAAAATGAAGCCCTCCAAATGCCTACAAGTCCCTACTGCCTTTCTGAACTTTCATAAAAATTACCTATTTGTTGATGCCTCAGTTGTATAATATCATAGACTATATATGATTTTCTGAATAAATGAAAATAACTCTTAATTCCCCAGAGTAATTTTTTTTTAGTATGAAAACCTGACATACATAATCCACTTAAGTAGAATATACTATAATGAGTACAGTTTTGTATGTTCTACATCGCTTAGGAAGGTCAGTACTTTTCAGACTGTGGTATAGAGACCACCCAGTTCAGGATGCCCCTGATTGCTTGTTAAAATTCATCCTCATTACTTATTCATTAAATCCTAATTCCTGAGATTGGTAATAGCATTTTAGCAAACGCTGAAATGTACTCTTGGGTACCCTGAAGTTTTAAAGTCTCTGACCAATGGTTTTCATTAATAACTGCTCGTGCCATTGTTCAATGACGGCATTGAATGAGATCTTCAGGAGTCCTTGCAATGTACAGAGCTACCTTCTCTCATAGTTCTAAATTATGTGCAGATCTTCTATTTCATACACTATGGCACATGGAAAAGCATTACTTAGATCTCCTTCAAGAGATCCTGTTATGGAGAGCGGCTGACCAATAGTTGCATGGTGGATCCAGCTGCCCCTCTGAATCCACTGCCAGGTTCATGCTGAGGCCATGTGTCTCCTGGGAGTTGTTTTCAGGGTGAAATAGGACAAGTACCATTTTGGGTCTGCTTCTCAGAGAACACACATAAACACACACACAAATGTACATGTAATGTATACAATATATTGTCTTATAAAATATATACATCGTTACCTGACTTGTCCAAGTTCCCAGAGATGATAAGGAAAGAACAACACCTTTAACATGTAAGTCCATGTGTTTTGTACCAGATAATGTTGATTATCCATTTTGAGCATTAATCTTGTTTTTAGAATGATACTTCAAAATAAATGAAACTTTCACAATAAATAAAATCCCAAGAGTCCTCTCAGCACCTGAAAAATGTCTTCCTAGGTAGGAGCCTCTGCATTTCACAGGAAGTGACAAATAGGAGTAGGCCTTTCTTTTTTTACTCTCTAACCTTGATCCATCTTTCTTTACCAAAAGCCTTGTAATCCATGATGGAGCTGTGACCTCTGGAACACCTGGAACATCTGGAAAAATGTGCTGGGTATGTCTGAGTATTTCCACAATATGCCCACAAATCTTAAAGTCAGCTCAAAAGTTTACATAAAATTATACCTTGAGAAAGGGACTTTCATGTGGAATTTAGAAAGGCAGTCACAAGAAGACAGGGTTAAGGCAATAGAAAAGACTCTGAACAAGGCAGTGCTTTAGTTTGCAAGCTCTATACAGATGGAGGGTAGGGTTCTTGATGAAGAAACTCTCGATGATGGATAATTCTACGGCCATCTTACGTGGTGTCAAAATGACAGACTGGTAATCTGTTTTGAAAGGCACTTCAAACCTCCTTCTTGCTTCTATATGGTAGGCTTTCATCAATTTTCTCATCATGTTTTTTGAAAGTTTTAAAATTTGTTAGCCCTTAGAAGTAGTGTAGTGTCATGTTGCAAAAAGAAAAAAATAATGTGGTACCGCAGGAACTCTTTCTGACCGCATTTTATTACACCTAGAAATTCAGTATGTACAGAGAGAGAGAGGGAGAGAGAGACACCCACAGACATATTTCATGTGGTTATATTTTAATTTCTAACAAAATACAAATTATTTTAGTGGAATACATGGGGTACCTCTAAGTCGCAATGCAAAACTATTGTATTTCATTGTTGATTTAGCCAGCAGAAATGGAATGATTCTTGTAGTCAGAAAAATTATTGTTCAAATCTTGAGTTTTGTACTGTTCCGTGACTTTGGGCAAATGTCACAATATCTTATTATCCTCACCTAATTTGGCATAAAATGCTTATGTTACAAAGCTGTGCAAGCTTTGCATCCTAGAACTTTACTATGGTGTATAAAGTTGTAAACAGAAAGCTCTTCTATCAGTTTTTGGCCGTTTTCAGATAGTGAAAGTGCTCTGAAATGCTGACGTTACCTTGGAGGAGAAAATATTAGATGTCACCATTTTAGTTTAAATTATTGGACACACTAATTTCACCAGAATGTCCTTATAGAAATAGTTATTGGTTAAGACAGTATGAGAGTGTGTAATGCATAGAACGGGTGCTTGAAAGTGAATGCCCTAACTAAATCCTTTGCTAAGCACAGAGAAAATCTAATAGCACTGTTTCTGCTGGCACACAATTAGGATTCTGATGTTGCTGTCAATTTTCAGCACAGCCCATTCATAAATGTAATGGGATCTCTTTTCTCACAATCTAGGCCAGGGATGTCCAATATTTTCACTTTCCTTGGCCACATTGGAAGAAGAATTGCCTTGGGCCACACATAAAATACACTAACACTAACGATAGCTGATGAGAAAAAAAAAAAAAAAAAACCTGCCAAAAAAAAATCTCACAACGTTTTAAGAAAGTTTATGAATTTGTGTTGGGCTGCATTCAAAGTCATCCTGGGCCACATACAGCCCAGAGGCCATGGATTGACCAAGTTTGATCTAGGGGGTTTTCCTTTCATTTTTTTCAATATTTGTATTCGGAGTATAAAAAGTATCTGGCTATTAAACAAAAAAAAGGTTGCTCATCTTTACCACTCAGTAAAAAGCATTAGAAAGAAAAAGCCTACAAGTTAACTTTAGGTTATGCTTTTAAACTCAGAAAAATACTAATATCCTGAAATTTTCCTATTTCAAAAATTATAGACTCTGGGGACCCTCAAATGGCTATTTCAAAGGTAGTCCATGCTAATCACAATGACTTGAAAACACACACAGAAATAAATCTATTTGCTTGCCAATCTATTTGCTTGCCAATAAAGAAGCTAGAAGTTACAGAGAAATATCCTCTATGCACCTCCTCCACCACACATACATGACAAAAAGAAACATACACATTTCATCAGTAATAGGTTATACGATTTATTATTTTTGGTATTTCCTCAAGTGCTAATATAAGAAGGTAAAAAAGGTCAAGGATGTACTTAGGGGATACCATCTTTAGATAGAAAAAAGGAACATAATCATATGAAGGGACCAAATATGCCACACCAAAATATACCACTTTGGAAAATGATTTTTTATAACTGAAGGTAATTGAGAGAAATCAGAAACAGTAAGAGCTCTCTGCCCTCCCACTTTCTGACTACAAGTATCACATTAGTTTTCCTTGTGGAAATGTTCCCTTCTCCCATCTCAGGAAGACAAAAACCCTCGTTACGGGAAATAAAGATAGTACTGAGAGATGAGTCTGCATAAACAAACCTTACTAAATAACTCTTCTCATCGTAGTTTTCCCATATATTTCCTAGTCATTTTCCGAAATATATAATCCTTTGTTAAAGTAGTATATAAGCCCCTGAGTCTAATAACTCCGTTAGGTTTTTCACTTCTTTTCTGTGTGGTTCCAATGCATGTAAAATTAAAAACATTAATACAATTTGTATGCTTTAATTCACATGCCACAGCTCCAAACGTAAGAGGGCAGAGGAAAGTTTTTCCTCCTCTACACATGTTCTAAGTTTCCAGGAAAGAGCATATAAAATAGGAAATAATATATTCTAGAAGATGAATTTTTGCTCTTGATTCTTAAATTGGAAATAAATTTCCCCATCAATATCCATTTGGAACATCAGATACCAAAGTAAGAGAAGAAAAGTAATGAGATCCTGACATCAGGCTATAGTCATGTCCTTTCTAGTTTAGAGGTGTGAAAACCTAGATATTAATGCAGAAGTTAGATATTTTCTCCCAGTACTCAACAGGAGCTTAAGATTTAGAGCTGCCCCTGTATTAGAAGGGAACATTTATGGGAAAGGACATCAGCAGATAACTCAACCCAATGTGTCAGGAGTGATTTGTTCAGTAAAACAGGCAGAGGTTGCACAAGGGGAAGAGACTACAATATAAACCAAGGAAATGTATATTTTTAGTGATATGATGAAAAAGAAGAGCCCTGTACTTGTGTTTTGTCATGGAAAGATATTACATGAAAATTATTAAGACTGCCTGCAGAACAGAACAGAGTATACAGACCTTTTGTATTTTTAAAAGACTTATGTGTGTTGGTGTATGTGTGCTTAAGAAGAAAGATGTTTTCGGAAGGATTCCTGAGCAACCATTAATAATTGTTACCTTTGGGGTATGAGATTATGTAAATCTCCTGAAATACCAGCATGGATTTGTGAACACAGCATAGACTGGGGCTACTATAATCAATATATTTAATGATTTATTTGATTTAATGAATGCATTTGATTTATTTAGTGCATCTACCCCAAATCAGTAGGTGGTCAAAGTGATGTTGCCCAAGAACAAATTCTTAGTCTTCAGATGTACTTGTAAACCCAGGAATAACATTGCTGCTGGTGTCCTCAGAAATGATAAATGGATGTCTTGGTGGGGGACAGTGACAATGGAACTAAAAATAGAAACTTGATTCTCTTGTCTCTATCTCTTGTCTCTGCTTGCTGTCCTTACAGTAAACAGGTATAAGGACACATCTGTGATTTGCATCCCATTTTTTCACATGTGACATAATTTCAGCAATTATGACCAATTTTAACTGCCTGAAACTTGTAAAATGTAGGGTCAAAATTCTAGGTAGAACACATAGTAGTTTTGGGAGTAGACACTTTAGTAATCACTGGTATTAAAGCAAGATAGGGTTTTTCAGTGATTATGGGCCTGGAGAAAGGTGTTAATTTGGTGTGTGTGTGTGTGTGTGTGTGTGTGTGTGTGTGTGTGTGAAAGAGAGAGAGAGAGATAGGTGTCGGAGCTTAGAAGCTAACCTGAATCTGGCCCTCTCCAGTATTCACTTCACCTGAAACATTGAATAATTCAGTTTAAATAATTCAGTGACTTATTTTGAAAGTTGTTTGAATAGTATAATAAGAATTATCTAAGGAAATCATTTAAGAAAAAAAAAACCCTCAGCATAATTTTGAGTGCCAAAAGAAACATCTATATAAGCATCTTCCCAGTACAGCCATGAATCCAAATCATGGTTGTGGTGTGGTCTATATAAAACAATCAATAGATTATTTTGCTACAAAGATCATAGTGCAGATAAAGTATAATATGCCATTTGTTCAGTAAATACTAGCTTCAGTTTACTCACTAATGCATTTAATCAATGTCCTGATCTAATTAGGATCCTTTTTTCTTCTTGTAGGAAGACCATGAAAACGTATTATACTCAATAATCAGAATATTTTATGCTAATTTAATATATCATTATATTTATTCATTCAAGGTTCAAATAAAAAAGTTTCACATTTTTTGAGAAAAACTATAATGTATGAAATGACAGATTTGAAAACAGCTTATTAATATATGTTAATATACTTCTTAATCCTGAAAATAGTGATAATTTTCATTTATGAATCTAATTTACATTGGCTTCATATTATTTAGATGAGCAAGAAGAATAGCTATGGAGAAAGACACAATCTGCATTTGAATATAAAGATTTATGGTAATGTTATGGTGTAATTCCATAATTTATACCAAGTGTATCAGGTCTAGGATATCTACAGGATATACTTTGAAAGTCAAATGACTGTAGACTTGCATAAAAAATAATAATATCTAGATAGTACATGAATAATGCAAGAGTGTACATTGAAATGGTCACATTAAATTAATCTGAGTTGCTTTCAGCATAGTAAATTCCTTTTAAATCCAATCATTTCTCAGGCTAGGCGATGACAACTACAGGGACGTTTTTGTCTGAGTCCTCCACTCTCTTATCTTCTTTTGAGTCACCACAGCTGAATAAACCTAGTTTCAAACTTAAGACCTCAAAATCTAGGAATTTAAAGTGTAACTTTTGCATAAATTGTGTAATATTTTCTTGTCTAAAATCAAAGAATGAAGAATAACTTAAAGCAATGGAAGAGATTATTGAGATATTTGGTCTTCCCTGCCTTATGTCTCTGGTTAATACATGTTTAATGCTATCCCAGCCTAAATCATGATCTTGAGGTTTCTGAGTAAGGTTTTTCATTAATAAATATTTAATTTATTGATGAATATTGATGAATATTTATTGATAATACATATTGCATTGTGCTCTTTATGTCAACAAAAACACATTTAAAAATTATTAAAAATTTGCCCCTGTTTTATCACATCCTAAAATAATTTCGTCTGAGAAACATCTTCCACCTCCTTCAAAATACCTATCACATGCCAAGGTAGACTGCAATCCAAGATAAAAGGGGAGATGAATAAAACCTACAGAATGAACAGCTCAGCAGCCTCATTTATCAGAAATATTGATTGGTTTGATAATAATTCCGTGTGAGGCAATAATTATTCTGGAAGGAGCCTTCATGAAGTACAAGACAAAATTCAGAGTAAAATTGCTTGAAAGTAAATGGGAGCATAGACGCTTGTGTGACAGACTTTGTCCTTTGCCTACACAAATGTCTTCACCTCCTTCCCAGATTCTATGCTAAGAAAACTCTGGGAGATAACTTAATCTCAGAGAGGACAAATGCTGTGTTATTCCAAGGGGATAAATTATGATTGTTTTAAATGAATCATTATAATCTCATTCCTCTTGGACAGGGATTTACTTTAATTAAAGTCACCTAGGTAGTACTTCATGGAAATACTTTGTTTCATTGATAAAAAGGGTGCAAACAAAACTAATGCAACCCTTTGCCGTTTAATTCAATCTACTCTTTTGCTTGGAATAGGTGTGGCACACCTGGAACTATGGTAGCCAACTTACAGCAAGGTCACAGGCATCAGTGAAAGATTAAGGGCAATTAGAAACGCAGTGGCTGCTATTGTAGAGCCACAGAACAAATGAAATTAGCTGCCTACTTAATAGATATAATTTGAAATTAATAACTAGCTTTTTTTAACCAACTGTGTTTGAGTTTTCTTGTACTTGTAGCTGAAAAGATTTCTAGTTGTTGTAGGTTGTAACTTGAGTGATTTGTCCTTTTTTAAAAATAAATGTAAATACATTTCATTAGGAAGTATGATAAATAAAATATATATACAAATAGATACATTGGATTCCCATAGTTTGACAGTATATGAGCAAATGCTTAAATGTCGATTGTACCAAAATATTGGAAACTGCCCAAGAGGCAGAAGATCAAACTGGAATGTCATGTTATCTTTCACTGTCCATAAGGAATAAAGAGAAATGTAAGAAAAATCAACATGAGCATCTTGAAATTCATCATGGAATACTAGGGAGAGGCATGAAAAGTTTGAAAGTCAAAAATTAGCAGCAAAATGATCAACAGCTTTGAGAATTTGATGGTCATTGGAGAGAGAATCCATAGCCACAGCTGTATCCACAGCCATAGCTTGACCCATGGTCACTGCCACACCCAGAGCCTTAACTACAGCCCAGTCTTGGGAAGTTCTTGCTACCCATATCATAGCCATAGCCAAGCCCACAAGAGCAATTTGTTCTTAATTTTAAAATTATATTGCACAATGTACTCCTTATACTATTCATTTTGGCCAAATCTTTTGTTTGAGAGGATCCCATTGTGACAAGCAATTATTACAATCTGAAATGTCTACAAAAGCTTGACAGGTACTACAAGCAAGTGAAGTCTGCAAGAATAAACTATTAAAAATTGTGAGTGCTAAGGTTACCTGAAGAGAGAATGCCCCATCTGTGAGAGTGAACCAATGGTTACCATGGGAAAATGTCTCCATATGCCAATATTGCCAGATCTTCCAATTTTTCAAGAGAAAAAAAAGGAATATGATTTTGAATATAAAATTCCCCAATTTTTAAATATTGACAATAAATTATATTTTGAATGTTTTAGTCATTATTTGCATTAACATTGTGAGGGTAAACCTAAGCACATCTGTGGATGGGCCAGATTACTACTACGGAGTTCAGTTCTTTAAACAAGGAGACAAACACAATATCTCTTTTGGCAAAATGATGTAACACACAGCTTTCTTTGATTGTTTCTCCGACTTCACAGCAATTACATAAATAGATCTTAAATTATACCAGGCCATGAGAATTTCAATAGAGAGTCTGAACCAGCTGCAACCCCATATTTAGCTTATTCACATTCCTTTAAATAAGCGTTATAGTTGATTCTCTTTAACAGAAAAGTTGAGAAAGAAAATAGGTCACAGCCTAAGCAGATGGCTACTGTAAATTTCATGCAAAAACTAAGAACGAGGGTCAGTTTCTGCATGAAAAAGTAGTTAGAAAATGAAGGGGATATTTCTGGGTTGTGAGGTGCACTGGAGACTTCATCTGTTTAAATAATGTGCTATGCATATTCCCATGAACATGGTTTTGAGCACATTTTGTAAGCATCAGATATTTCATTATAGCTGTCATTCTGAAAACATGTTTCAGAGATGCAATGACAATAGCAATGTTACAGGGATTGGTATGAGAATGAAAATTTCTAACTTGACAAAAAAAACTCAGCTACATTAGCCATTGGATGATACGCATGCCATGTACAATGATGAGTTTTCTTCATTTTTCATGCATATTTCACTATGTAATTCATGATACTTCACATGCATATTAAAGATTCTATAACTATGTATTTTTATAAGAGCCATTACTGACCGTAGTGGATTTTCACTCTTGCCTGACTAGCATTTATTCTTTCATTTTCTTATAGCATTTGGACTTCCCTTTAGGAAGCTGTCTCTCCCCCTTTTTGTATGACTCAAATGATTTGAGTGGAATTAATTCTACCTGAGCTGCATAGATGGAGTTGATTTGTATATTCTGAGAAGCAGAATCACATCATCACAGTGACTTGGCTCAGGAATGTGTGTGATGTGGGAAAAAGGGCATTGCAGTTGGGAGAATGGTATGTGTGAAGGTTGGGTAAGAAGGCATAAAATACACTCAAAAATGCATTCCATCAAATGTTCCTGGAGCATGGACGGTGGATAAAGACAAAACTAGAGAGGGAGACAAGCCAGAGCTTGCATATCATTGTAGAGCTTTAAGGGATTGAGACCTTATTCTAAATGTGGTGTCAATGATTGATTTTAAGCCAGTGACTGGTTTGTGTTTTTAAACAAGTTATTCTGGTTTCTATGCAGAGAATGGACTAGAGAGGAAGTAAGATACATTGGCTATAGAGATCAAATAGGAGTCTATTGTAGCAATCCCGGTGAATAAAGATAGAGATTCTAACTAGTGTGGTGGTGTGGAAATGGAATGAACAGACCAATATTTATAATAAACCAAAGGAGTGGTAAAAGAGTGCAGTGACAGAAACAGTCATCTTGAAATGAGAGAATAGGGAAAGAATGCATGAATGATAAGATCTTTGGACTAAACATTGAAGGATAGAAAAAGTTGGATAGAAAGGGACGGAGATCAAGGAAGGAACATCTGTGAGTGAGTGCAGTTAACCTCACAAGAAAGGACAAAGGGTGTTGGACTGGGAGAAGACTGATCACACACAGTTGGGGTAGAAAGGAAACACAGCACAGATATAGAAAATAATGTCAGAAAGGCAGCTCCAGGCCTACCGTATAGACTTTGATATCAGGGTAACTAGTTTGTACATTATTTAACAGAAGGCACTGGACCATTTAAGATTTTCAGCAAGTCAATGTATCCAAACAACAAAGCCATTATTTCATAGAATGTACCTGGCAGTAATAGAGACATGGCTTCTGGAATCATAGCAAAGGAGGGAACTAAGAGGCCTGATTAAGTATTTGCAGTGGAACCATTAGCTGGGTTCCTTGATATCAAAACAAAATTGGGTAAGTGATGGTGATGGTGCTACAAAGATAACCGGGGCTTCAAGCTTTGTTAGATAGGTAGTAGTACCTTTAAGAGAAATAGAAGAATCAAGAGAACATTACATTTTGGTGAGAGAAGAGGATAATTACACAGATATTTAAACTTTGTCACATGATGCCACTGCCACATTTCCACAGAATCAAGCAAGACTATTTGTATTTGAGATGGAGGCGAATGCTATTTTCAAATGAATATACAGCTGTCTCAAATTTCACATGTGTTTATATCATGGACATATCAAACATCATTATGATGTTTATCAACGGCTGTTTTATGTGTCTAATTACTGAACTCCTTCCTCATCCATCATTAGATGGTAAATTCATGGAGGCAAGGAACTGTATCTTTTTCTGAGTCTTTATTGTTTGAAGTAATAATGGGTCTTGAAATCTGTTGATAATATAGCTAAAGCCTATTATACAAGCTCCTCATTGCATCACTGACTTTCTATACTGATATTTGTAGAATACTCCTGTGTGTGCCGAGGCCTTGTCTGTACTTCTGTGTCCTAAACTGTCTGCCTGGGAAACTCGTCTTTAATACTATCACCTCCTCCATGCATGTATTTTTAGCATAATGCCAGGAAAATTAGAGGTTCTGCTGGACTCGAGTTACTTGAATAATCATCAGAAACTTTTCTTTCAGTCTTTGTTGATGATACTGTCATAATTTTATTCCACTTTTCTGGTTGGTAAGAAGGATCTAATGCATAGGAGAAAACTCGCTTAAATGATCCCAGAAGATTTAAATATCTAAACAGTGATTATGTAACCATAAAAAACAGAGGAATCAGATTAGATGTTTGCTTATAACCTTCAGCACATAATTTCTTCCACATTTTCTATACGGCTTTCTAAATTCTAGATTCTTTTGAGCTTGCCTTATAATTTTGTTCCTTCTGGTTAATTGATATTTCTTGTTAGTTTTCTTCTAGCTAATCAAGGTTTTATTGTGCAAAAGTTAAAATCACATACTTATTCTAGCACTATTTTCAAGTCTAATTGGGTTATTAAGCAAAATGCATTTGAATATCTAAACACAAACAAAATCGATTTTGATCTAACTTAAGGAAAGATGCCAACTCTACTTAAGACTGTTAGATAAGTGCTCATCTTACATGTAAAGAAATAGAAAATATGCAAGCTCTTCTGTCATTTGCCTTAATGAAATTATTTATGTCTTTTTTTTTTTTTTTTTGGAGATAGGATCTCACTCTGTTGCCTAGGCTGGAGTTCAGTGGCGTAATCACAGTTTATTGTAGCCTGGACCTCCAGGCTCAGGTGATCCACCCACTTCAGCCACCCCAGTAGCTGGGACTACAGGAACATACCACAATGCCCAGCTAATTCTTTTGTAGAGGCGGGGTTTCACCATGTTGCCCAGGCAGGTGTTGAACACCTGAGCCCAAGAGTTCACCTGCCTTAGTGTCCCAAAGTGCTGGGATTACAGGCGTGAGCCACTGTGCCTGGCCTATAAGCCATTTTAAGAAAAGTGTATCTGATATGGAGCTATGAAACAAACTTTAAAATTGCAAAATGAGATAAAGCATTTTGTTTTCGTTTTAATAGAAGCTGCCATCGTATCACGGAAGTCTTAAATACTCTCATTTACAAAGTGACTTTTGCACAAATCTTGAAGTTTTCATAAAAAAAGGTTTTAGTGCTGTGACTGCAAAAGCATCATTCTAAAGCTACTTTATATGTTATTGCCAGATAGCTTTTAAAATACTGTTCCACAATTATTTAGCAAAGTGAAAGATGAAGAATGACCTCGCTGGGAATTTTAAGTTATCATTCATGTCTTGCTTAGAGCCCAGAGTTTTCTGTAGGGCAATACTGGGATGGAAATGGATACTAGGTGACATTTCATGTCAGGGATAAAGAGGAATACGCACAACTAAAAATAAGTCAAGGAAAAAAATATCAGTTATAAACTTTTCAAAGGCCAGGCTCATAGCTTCTAAGGATTCCATATCATTTCTTGTCAGGCTCAGCGGATGTTAATTCTATTAGTAGGTACCCAATAATTAGCATTTGAATTAAATTGCATTTTTATATGTGATAGAGCAGCAATTCTGCATCAAGAATGGGAGGAGCTGGAAAGACCTGTCTCACAATAGTGAAACAGGGAAAATGTCTGTTTTCCCAAGGTACCTGACATTTTCATGCTGTCCACCATATCATCCAACTTTGATGAGTCTTCCCAGAATTTACACCTTTAGTTCCTCAAATAACACTCCCTAAGCTCTTGACTATCTGCAAAGAAAGAAGCTGAGTGCATGTGATATTGCTGGTCTTTGATAAGTTTAATTATCAATGTCTTCCTTTTTATCCTACCCTAACACCTATATTTTATCAGGACCATGATTATCTAACTCATTCCAAAGAGAGTAGAAAATCCTCTTAGTTATCATTATCAGCATGAAAATAAATGAGGAATAAAATTGTTGAGAAAAATTGGTAGATATAATACAGAGAAACCTAAATGAATGGAAAAGAAAGAAAATACATTTTCTATCCCATTGTAAAGGAACCCATTGATTAGCTATAGGTTTTGATTTCTCCAGATTGAGGACAACTGGCAAATACAACTGCAGAATATGCATAAGGAAAAAGTACATATATATGTAGATGTATATACACTTACGTATACATACGTAATTTTGGGTTAGAACAGAGCTTGATAAATAATTCAGTTATTTCAGTGTCAACAAAAGACATTTCATCTGGCTGGAAGCTGATCAAGTAGGTAGTGGCTGTTCTACCTTTGATAGATGTTTTAGTGGCCAATTGGAAAGGGAGAGAATGGAACTCATCAGTGTCATTGTCTTGTAGATGTGGAAAACCAAAAAGATGTTCCCAAATCCGAATGCAGATTTAGACCTTAAGTCTAAGAGGGTCAGTCATTCCTAAATCTAGGCGTTGCTCAGAGCTTCCTCTTGCCTTTTTTGTCCATTCTCAAATAGAAACGGAACTAGCAAGGTCAAGAATGCGTTGGAAAAGCCCTGAGCATCAAGGATGAAAACATTAAATAAAGGGGGGACCATGACATCTACTTTTACTGCAAGTCCTAGGTCAGAGGGTGCACAAGAGACTCTGTAGCTTCCTGTGATCTTGTGAAACTCATTAGGACTGGAGGTGCCATATAAAAACAGCATTCTCAACCAACAAATAGGCAGCTCTTTCCTGATGTAAAAATCCCATATAGTCTTTGTGAGCCAGTGAGGATTTGAGGATTTATGAGCCCTTGAGGATTTGGGGATTTGTGATTTAATTTCATCACAGCTAACTTCAGGGATTGAAAATAATTAGCAAATACATGAATTAAACTTCTGATTTCCAGACTTTATTTCCCAACTCTCCTACCACACCAAGTCTCTCACTGTTGTGCAAACACACTATGACCTTTCATGGCTCTGTTCTGTACATGCCTGAAGGCATCTTCCCACTTAAAAAGAAAAAAATATTGGAAAACTCCGACCCAATCTTCATAACAGTTTTGATGCCTTCTTCTTGGAATTTTGGAGCTTTTCTTTGCTCCTTGCTCTAATGTTCTGTAATTCTTCTATTTATACAAATTTTCCCAACTACACTGTGAACTCTTCAAATGAAAGGCAGGAATTACATGTAACTATTTTTATGTCTATTACCTACCGCATTTCCTCATATTTAATAATTTAAAAATGAATGAGTAGATATGTGAAAGAAATGCAAGGTAATTAGTATTTGAAAGAGATCAAGATATATGTCTGTCTTTTACCAACTTTTTTGGAGAGAATAAAATTTTTCCTTTTGCCATTGACATGGAGTATTTTAAACAACAGTCTTTTATTGAGCATTTGGAAACATATCATCTAGGTCAGACTCTGCCGCTGCCTAGATTTTTTTGTCACTTGACTTTTTTGGGCCTCAGTAATAAATCGAGGTATTCTACCATCCCCTCTGACATAAAAATCACTGTCATTTCTCGGTAACTATCCCAGAAAACCTTCTTTAACCCAGAAGAAAGAAAACAACTTAGGCAGCAGTCAAGAAAAACTTTCTGAGGATAAACAGCCTCTTTTCTGTATTTAACAAACAGAAAATACGAACCAAAATAAAGCAAAAGGAAACATCCTCCAACTATAAGCAACCCTACATTTGAAATCAATTCACCACCACCAGCAGCAGTGAGGAACAGTTTATACCCCTCTGTAGGTAAAGTTCAGTCTTTTCAGGAGGATATGCTTGAATGCCATATGTTATGTTGCCCTTAAGAACAGCGAGTGACACCAGTCTAAATTCAAGTGGCCTGATTTAGCTTTGACCCTTAAAATAAGCCAGACTTAAAGCCTATAACCAGAGTTATACTCTTGATGGGAGGAAAGGCTTAACTAAGTAGTTGTAGGATGGGCAGTTAGATTTTGGGCCAGAATGAACTCAGGGACAAATACAAAATAATCCATGATGACAGGTTTAAAACCTTGACCAGGTTGCTCATATTTCCCATGGCCTCAATTGAGATTACACTCTCTCACTTAATTTTGTAAGATGTGAATACTTAGGAATTAATATGGACTAAATGGGAAAATTGATCTCGGCATGAAAAGACTTGCAGAAATAGCAACTCTTTACTGTCAATCATGGACACATATGCTGAAGGTAGCCCAGGAGGTTTATATGTAAAAACAAGAAATTAAAACTATAACAACAGCATACACCTGTAATTCCAGAAAGCTGACTATATTGACACTTTCTCAAGGATTATTGAATATTCTACAAATATCATAAGAAATTTTCATTTTTATTATGGTTTTTGTGACAAAATTTTATAACATTAGAAGCAAATTTTAATTTATTCCTCAGTTTTTACTATCTCACATTTTCAGGAAGAAAATAAGCATGTGAGAGTCAGTGTTTCTTCAGGATTGTTTTTTTTTTTCTTTAATTATTTTCCTTACCTGTACAGCGGAAGGGAAGACTTTTCAATTTGTTAAGGTAATTAATTTTTTGTCCCCTTTGAAGTTACAATTGTTAAATAAAAATCCATTTAATATTAATGAAATTTACACCGCAGCATTGAAATTAACACAATGACTACTTTCCCCTACTGATTCTTGGCAGTTAGATTTCATCTCATAGTTCTTTGTTATAAGCAGAAGGAATAACAATCAAATGTTAACGCTCATTGACTGTGTCTGAATTTATTTACAGCAACAGCGACATTCACACATAACCAAAAGCAATGACTTGTGTTTTTCGATGTCAGATAAATGAATTTTTTTCACAGCTAGTGACTGAAGACATACTGATTCTATATTCTAGGCATGTGAGGGAGACAAAAAAAAACCCAGCATGTGTCTGCCTTTAAAGAGTTTATATGCGGTGTTAGAAATACATGTAAAACACCAAAATGTAAGCTTCCAATTACATAGTACAGAATTAAAGAAATCAAATATCTAGTATTTAGCAAAAATGAATGCACTTCTATTTATTTGGCTGTGTGTTTACCTGCAAGTTTATTGATATTGGCATGTTTGTGAAAATCAGATTAGGACTGCCAGTCCCCCAAGCACCAGTTCAATTCAGTCTTTGATTAACATCGTCAACTTTGATGTCCTGAGCTTTGTTCATTTACTAAGATGCTTTTGAGACCTGTCAAAATGACTTATACCCTTTTTATTCTTTGATAGAGTGAAAGACTGAGACTTGACTTAGATCACATAACTGCCCAAATGGACCGGAAGACCGGAATTTTCTGGCAGGTCTATTTAGTGTTTGCTGTGATATTCTCTGCTGGGCTGAGGACCCCAACTGTGATGCAATGTCCTCTGATTCATACGAGGTGCTATCTCTGTTCTTCCAGTAAATTCTATTCCTTTTGCATCCCCCAACTGAGGTTTTCACAAAGTAAAAATCATGGATGATGAAAAGTAATAGAATATATGCTTCCCGTCTCATGCCAAAGTTACTTAAAGGTTTGACAACACTGACACAACATTTCGTAAATGGAATATAAAGTTCTTTATATTCCATTTTTTAAAATGGAAATCTTTTTAAAAGATAAAATTGCAATTAAACTATTTTTCTATTATAAAATATTCATTTTGCTACACACGTAGGGAAGGGATAATTCTTTCAATCTCTTCAGAGTTTAGAAGTAACGTCATGGGAAATTTGAGTCACCTAATACAATCACCATAGTTATACAGTTACTGCAGTTACCACAAACTGTAGAGTCTACAGGGCTTTAAAATGGGTCTCAATGTCATCTCTCTCTTTTTTTTTTTAATGTCATCTCTTAATGCTTGTGCTCTCTCTCACTGCTCAGGCCAAAAGGGCTTCCTGGCTGCTCCAAAATTTTACTCAGGATATTCCCTTTACCTAGGACACTCTTCCCACAAATATGCACAAGAATCTTTCTTCACTTCCTTAGGTCGACACTTAGGTGTCATTTCCTGTGGAATGCCTCTTTGCTCACCACTGCATTGAAAACTGCACCCTTTTTAATGGCATCTTCCTTTTTGCTTTACATGTCACTGTCTACTACTCAGCAATGGAAAGGAACAAAATCTTGGCACACAAAACAATGTGGATGGAACTTAAGGGCATTATGTTGGACAATATAAAATAAGCCAATTTCAAAAAATTATATACTTCATGATTCTGTTTATATATCATTCCTAACATGACAAAATTATAGAAATGGAAAACGGGTTGCCAGAAATTAGATAAGTAGCCAGAGATGTGAGTATAAAGGGGAAGCAAAAGAGATTTTCGTTGTGGTGACAGAGCAGTTCTGTATCTCAGTTGTGATGGTAGCGGTAGTTACGTATAATAAAAAATGTCATAGAATCACACACAAAGGCATGTCAGAAAATGAGCATATGCAAAAACAGGTTTAAGATCTATAATTGTATGAATTATGTTATGCTAGTCAATTGTCTGGTTTTGATAATGCACTATTTGTATGCAAGATGTCACCACTGGGGGGATTTTGCTGATGGGTAAGGAATACAAAGGTCTCTATACTCATTTGCAAATTTGTGTGAGTCTGTACTTAAAAGTAAGTAAAAGTGAAATAAAATGTAAAATAAAAGTCTCCCTAGCACTTACCACCATGTAACATGCTACGTAATTTACTTATTTATTTTCTTTTATCTTTATCTCTCCCCACTATTATGCAAGGGATTATCATTTGTTTTGTTCTGTGCTATATCCATGGCATATAGTGCAGGAGAAAGCTTACATAGTAAGCTTTCCATGGATAGTTATTGAATGAATTTATGATTAATTAACCTAGTATTTTAACATAAAAAGATCATGTTAACGTTATGGCTAATATCATGAGCCTTTGATTCTGATCCCAGCTCTGTTATTATCCAGCAGATCTTTAGCAAATTATCTGAACTTTCTATGCAATTATCTCATCCACAAAACTAATAACGCATAAAAGGTTAAATTTTAAAAATCTCTCTCTCTCTCTCGCACACACACACAGATACACACACCCCAACACACATAAACACAAAGCTAGAGGAAGTGCTGTTTGAAACTTCTTGGAATGAAATGCAGTAATATGCCTCAATAACCTCTACAAAATTAATATCACTTGATACAGTGATTTATCAGAAATGCAGCCACAGTTTTAAGGGCAAGGATGATCATCGCAACATTGTTTATAATAGTGGGAAATTTTAAATTAACCTAACTCTCCAATAACAGGAAACAGGATATTTTTTGGGGCATGGGATGTTGCCCCATAATTTGGAACATTTTTCTGAAAACAAATACCACAATTCATTTTATAAGTGAATAACTAATAAATACAGGTATAATCCACAATAACCTAATTATAGGTTTTAAATTTATATTCTACATAAACATCATGACTATTAACAACATTCATTATTTAGAAAATTTCCCCTTTCACAGTATCTTTTACAAGATGCCTGTATTTTGCATCCCTTCAATAAATACAAAAATGCTTTTGCTTAGAAATTATGAGGGAGAGTAAATGAACATCTATGCCATTAATTGTTCTCATGGCATCATTCAATCTGCAAACAAAGAAAATGTAAATTATTAATAAAATGCTCTCCCTCAGAATGTGTTACTATACAGGCATACATATTAAATGAAATTCAACTGCAAAAAAGTGCTCTTCTATTCTTTATGAAGAGAAAAGTAATAATAACAAAGTGATATCCTTGGATTGAAAATTGCTAATGTTTTTGTATTTGAAATATTATGGACAGAATTTTTTTATCCAGAAAGAAAATATGATGAAAACCATTGTCTGACAGTATTCACAAGTTTAAGTGCAAAATTATAGGTGCAAAACTAGTTTAAGGTGCAAAATTATGCACGAATAACTTAGATTATTTAATGTTTCTTTATGAAGATCAAAATTCACACAAATACCACTAGCTTTTCCTCAGCCTGTAAGGTATCTCTTATTTTGAAACAAGTCTCTTGAAAAGGAATTAGGAAGATGCAGAAAATGCATATTTTCTCCCAATATAGACAAGCTTTGTTTCCCCCACTTATTCAATTATTAAAGAAACAAACAAATGACTATAATGTGCACATACACTGTACTTGGTGTTGGATTTACCTCACAGATTAAGTTCCAGTTTTAGCCTTAAATGATCCCAAGAGGAAAAGGGAAGAAAAATGTGTGTGAATTTTAATTAAACATCATGAAGTTTAAGTAAGTAGAATTAAGCATCATAATGCAATACTTCAGTCTATTTCAAGTACAGTAGATTATATTTTATATCTTAACAAAAATTTGCTGTGAAAAATAAAGTATAAATGTTTTGACCATAAAGCCTTGGTCATTTTCTGGCCAAGGTCTTTTAAAACTGTGTTGACCTCATGGCTAATTATATTCTACATTTCTTCTTTCCTCAGAAACACTAAGGTCCTTTCTATTTAGAGACCCCCACACTATACACTCTCTTTGAGCTGGTTAATTTACTAACACACAACCTTTAACTGTTTTCCTTTTTAAAATAGGCAGCGTGAAAACAATTGAAAATTAATTAGTATAAACTCCAACTAGGAATCATAACATTGCTGTCTTGGTATAATTAGAAAATATTAGCAAATATTACTTCTGAATTTCTTCTCTGTGTGTATATCTGGTTGTGGTTTTTTTTTTTAACTTGAAGTTTTCTGTTTCTACTAAGAATTATTACTGTTACGGTTCTCTGAAAAGTTATTCCATATTTGATACTTTTCAAAAAAGATACGATTACATGGAACAAAGTCTACTGCTTTGATTGAAATTTGTAGCAAGAAAAATCAAGGTCCATATAAGCTGCAACATTTCAAACTTGACATATTAGTTGGAAAGTCACATCTCTTTTTTCCTGTGTTTATGGTATGATGTATTTCAGAAGTAAAACTGTTATCCTTCTTGGATTAATGGAAAACAGTGAAATTTAACTATTTCAACATAACTCACCCATGGTAGATTTCCTTGCACAATGCCTGTGATGGACAATTATCTACCCATCTTTTGAATATTTCTAGAGAAAAAGGCTCACTGACTTCAACACTAGGCCTTCTATTAGTGAAAAAACAAGTGTTAAGAGAGGGCTTCATTATGTGGAGCCAAAATCTGCCTTCCTGGCACCATTTCATATCAAGGGCCCTAGTTTTATGCTTAGAAATATATCTAACTTCTTTTCTCTGTGATAGCCCTCCAATACTGAATATATCTATTATTCTTCCCATATTTTCCAGAGTTTTCCTTTTCCACAATTACATAATTCCTTCATCACAATTGCTAAATCTTTGAGAATTATGACTGTCTCCTATACAGCCTCTAATTGGCTAGAGTATCCCAGGTGTTTTCCAATAAGCCCTTAGAACACTGATATATCCACCTCCTGTATCCACCGAGCAGCACTGAGCAACAGAAATGTAACCCAAACCCAGCATATGTAAGCTTATTTTCAGTAGCTATGTTCATAGAAAATAAAGAGTAACTGGTTAAATCAATTACTAATATATTTTATTTAACCCAGTATATCCCAAATATTATTTAAACATATCATGAATATGATACATAATTAATATTATGTTTTTCTGTTTTTTATTAAGTCTTCAAAATCTGGGAAGTACAATTTTTACCTCAATTTGGACTACTCACATTTCAAGTCCTCAATAGACACATGTGGCTGGTGACTGCAGTATTGGCACACGGTTCTAGGTAGTTTAATTTTATTAACCAACCTAAAAATTTATCAGTGTTTTTAAAGTTAATGTGACAGCCTGAATTTATACTGAGCTGTGGCCAATAACGTTACTTAAGTTAGTGTGTCCATTACTATCCTTCACGCTACATTTTGGGAGCCAGATTTTTATAAAATGCATGCTTAAATTCACTCTAAACACTGTTAAGTTTAATCATTTGAACTCCAGTCAGCATTGCCACCCCTAGGTTATCTGTAATCTTGATTATATAGATTATCTGTAAATCAACCCTCTATTCTACCTTGCTCATTCAAAACTATGATAAGTATACTTTTATCTATTTATTTTAAACTCATTAAAGTGTATAGAACAAGAAACAGACATGAAAATATTAATAATACATAATAATATAGGTTTCTGATCGATCCATGGAGGCTCTCACATGTAATATCAATTAATCACAGTTCTCTGGATATGGCTATTCAGCCAGCTTCAAAGCCACCTAACCTCACTACACCTAACTAGTATTCAGAACTCTATCGTGATTTCCTGAGGCATTTTCCAAGTCTTCATGCAATTTACTTCCTTTGTTTCAGGATCTGTGTCAAGGGAGAGAGCCATCAGTCATTCTCATCTCTTGAATTTCATGGCCTCATTGCTTCCTTCCCACCTGTAATCACAGCTGTGCCTGTGTGACACACACTAGAGTGCTAGTGATGGTTTATGGGTTTCAAGGCTACAGTGTTGCAGACTCTGCCTGGCTCCCTTGGATTACCTAGACTGGGGGAAGCCTTAAGCCCTCTCATGACGACATGGAAGTAGCCCTGTGGACAGCTACACATGGAAAAACTGAGGTTCTCAGTCAACAACTGGTATCAACTTGCCAGCCATGTGAATGAGCCACTTTGAAAGTATAGCTCCCAGCTCAGCCAGGCCTTCAGATGACTGCAGCCCCCACATCTGGCATCAATCACCTAAGCCTTCGAGTGGGAAATGTACAGCCAAGCCCTTCTAGAAACCCTGATCTGCAGAATCTATGATCACAATAAATTACTGCTTTATGACATGAAGTTCGGCAGATGTGCGTCATTATTAGGTGACCAGAATAAGATCTTTTTACTTAGTATCATAGTATTTTCCTAATATACTACTGCCCAAAGTATGTTTTTTTGTTCTAGACCATACACAGATCCATGAGAAAAAAAAAAAAAAAAACAGTGATGTGTCTCAAGTAAAGTCAGGGTGCAATAACTATGTTTTCTTCCATTTGATAAATTATAATACACTAACTTATTAAAATCTCTCTAAAGCCTTATAATAGAGAAAACTGCTTAACTCACATTCAACCTAATATTTGCCAAATATATAGGGACTCACTTTACTTTTTCTCCATGCTAAGCCTATTTCTACTTTGTGGCCTCCCCATGTGCAAGGGGATTCTTTGCCAGTCAACACACCATAAGGAAATAGGTTGCTTTATTGTCTTAGATACTTATCTCATGATAGTAAAAATAAATAACAGGCACATGCAGGAACCCACTGAACTAAAGAAGAGTCCATAATCTTAATACAAGTATATATAGGTACCAATTCTAAAAACATGTTTCAAATTTACCTGTATGTTGTAAATGAATGCAAAGCTAAAGAAGAAGGTTGGAACCTGCATCTTGCAGTTTAAAATGAGAACATGATATTATTTCTATAGAAATAAACTACCTGTGAATAGATACAAATGATGACTCCATTATGTTTTACAATTAAGGACTGTCTTGTGTAGTAACAGTTTTAAAATAAGTCTCACTAAATAACTCCTATGAGGAGAAACTTACTTTTACTCCATCGCTTGCTAATTCTACTCATCTATTAATCCTAGTGTAATTTTACCAGAGTAATGAAGGCAATTATTTGATATTGAAGGTGTTTATTTTTTTTAAAATAGGTTTACTTTCTCAATGACTTGAGCTTAGATATTTGCACTTAGAGAGTGAATATGAATCACAGAGCTTTCAGTGTAAGAAGGAATCAGAAATTGCTAACATATCACAGATTCTCCTATCCATAAATAATTTTGTTGTTTATGTTTGTTCATTTACCTTAGAAAAAGCATTCGTGTCCTATAAAATAGCATCATAAACCAAAAGGAACCTTAAATTATTTCTCTTTACTGGGGAAGCATACATTTACTTTGCTTTCTAGTGGGCATTTTAGCAATATGCATCAAGAACACTAATTAATGTAAAAAATATATAATCCCATAATTTCAGTCTCATTAATTTAACTGAGAATAAACAAAGACAGATATTTATTAGTGTTCGTTGCAGGACAGATTTTTGTAATAGTGAGAGTGCTAATCTGTCAACTATCTATAAATATTAAAGATATTGAGTTGAATAAATTATGATATCACCACATGAAAAGATGGTAAAGCCATTAAAATAATGTTTTTGAGAAATATTTAAGACAAGGAACAATGTTCATAGTGGAATGTTCATGATAGTAAACTGTGTTATACTATTTTTATAATTTTGTCTATAAGTGGAAAAAATATTACATACTAATAACAATAAATAAGAATTAGATGAGATAAACCAGTACATTAACAGTGGTTTTCTCTAAAAAACGGAGGTGGATAGAGGCATTATTTCTATCTTCTTTTTTTGTGTGTGTATTTTCAGATTCTCTATAATACAGTTATATTATTTCAAAATAAAAAGATGCTATTTAAAAGTATGTTGTTGTATATCTAGAAAACCCCATTGTCTCAGCCCAAAATCTCCTTAAGCTGATAAGCAACTTCAGCAAAGTCTCAGGATACAAAATCAATGTGCAAAAATCACAAGCATTCTTATACACCAACAACAGACAAACAGAGAACCAAATCATGAGTGAACTCCCATTCACAATTGCTTCAAAGAGAATAAAATACCTAGGAATCCAACTTACAAGGGAGGTGAAGGACCTCTTCAAGGAGAACTACAAATCGCTGCTCAAGGAAATAAAAGAGGATACAAACAAATGGAAGAACATTCCATGCTCATGGGTAGGAAGAATCAATATCGTGAAAATGGCCATACTGCCCAAGGTAATTTACAGATTCAATGCCATCCCCATCAAGCTACCAATGCCTTTCTTCACAGAATTGGAAAAAACTACTTTAAAGTTCATATGGAACCAAAAAAGAGCCCGCATCACCAAGTCAATCCTAAGCCAAAAGAACAAAGCTGGAGGCATCACACTACCTGACTTCAAACTATACTACAAGGCTACAGTAACCAAAACAGCATGGTAGTGGTACCAAAACAGAGATATAGATCAATGGAACAGAACAGAGCCCTCAGAAATAACGCCACATATCTGCAACTATCTGATCTTTGAGAAATCTGAGAAAAACAAGCAATGGGGAAAGGATTCCCTATTTAATAAATGGTGCTGGGAAAACTGGCTAGCCATATGTAGAAAGCTGAAACTGGATCCCTTCCTTACACCTTATAAAAAAATCAATTCAAGATGGATTAAAGACTTAAACGTTAGACCTAAAACCATAAAAACCCTAGAAGAAAACCTAGGCAATACCATTCAGGACATAGGCATGGGCGAGGACTTCATGTCTAAAACACCAAAAGCAATGGCAACAAAAGGCAAAATTGACAAATGGGATCTAATTAAAGTAAAGAGCTTCTGCACAGCAAAAGAAACTACCATCAGAGTGAACAGGCAACCTACAAAATGGGAGAAAATTTTCGCAACCTACTCATCTGACAAAGGGCTAATATCCAGAATCTACAATGAACTCAAACAAATTTACAAGAAAAAAACAAACAACCCCATCAAAAAGTGGGCGAAGGACATGAACAGACACTTCTCAAAAGAAGACATTTATGCAGTCAAAAAACACATGAAAAAACGCTCACCATCACTGGCCATCAGAGAAATGCAAATCAAAACCACAATGAGATACCATCTCACACTAGTTAGAATGGCAATCATTAAAAAAGTCAGGAAACAACAGGTGCTGGAGAGGATGTGGAGAAATAGGAACACTTTTACACTGTTGGTGGGACTGTAAACTAGTTCAACCATTGTGGAACTCAGTGTGGCGATTCCTCAGGGATCTAGAACTAGAAATACCATTTGATCCAGCCATCCCATTACTGGGTATATACCCAAAGGACTATGAATCATGCTGCTATAAAGACACATGCACACGTATGTTTATTGCGGCATTATTCAAAATAGCAAAGACTTGGAACCAACCCAAATGTCCAACAATGATAGACTGGATTAAGAAAATGTGGCACATATACACCATGGAATACTATGCAGCCATAAAAAATGATGAGTTCATGTCCTTTGTAGGGACATGGATGAAATTGGAAATCATCATTCTCAGTAAACTATCGCAAGAACAAAAAACCAAACACCGCATATTCTCACTCATAGGTGGGAATTGAACAATGAGATCACATGGACACAGGAAGGGGAACATCACACTCTAGGGACTGTTGTGGGGTGCCGGGAGTGGGGAGGGATAGCATTGGGAGATATACCTAATGCTAGATGACGAGTTAGTGGGTGCAGCACACCAGCATGGCACATGTATACGTATGTAACTAACCTGCACATTGTGCACATGTACCCTAAAACTTGAAGTATAATAATAAAAAAAAATAAAAAATAAAAAAATAAATAAAAGTGTGTTGTTTAATTAGTGATAAATTGATAAATACATTAGTAACTTTCACCAAAAAATGTTGTAAATACTGGCTTCCAAAAATATTTCTTGTGTTTACTTCTTTCCTTCCTTTTTGTCCACCTCCTAGGGACTTTTCAATTTTTGCCTTAACCCAAAAGAAATATTCCAAAATTGATACTAACTTATTTTTAATGCCTTAATATCTCTGTGTAGTAAGGAGAAGGTTACATAGGAAGGCAGTTCAGCAGCAGCAACTACAAACGAGGAAAGGTGAGTATTCTATGGGCACTAGAAGGCAGGAGGATTTCAGGATGAACTCAGAGTCCCACATGTTTGAACACAGTAACTTTCCCAGACTGTGCTTTCTTTGAGTTTGTATTTTTTGAAATATTAGTGAACCCCGAATGTATGAATTTTAACAGCCTAGATAATTCTATAACCAGATTATGTACTCCCCCAGAATTTTTAAATATGTATCTGTAATTGTAAAGCACTGAAGTATTAAGGTCCAGACTTTAATTAGATAATTCACTAGAGAAGAGTTACTTCTTAAAGCAGTAGTGCATGCAGGATGCATTTTACAGGATTACTTCTTAGTTAAAATAGATACTTACCAGAAAAATAATTCTGTACCCAGAGCTATAAAATAGTAGAGACCTAAACTGAAATGAATGCATCTAACTGTAGAAAATAACAATGCTGATCTTTTGCAGAGCATCGAATTTAGAGGACAGATACTACTAACATAGCAGATGTAGCCCAGCTACGGTTGATTTGTTCCCTCTAGTAGACACGATTTAAAGGATTCATTCAACTGTTACTCTTGCATTCGGAAAAAGCTAATTCTTATGCAGATTTATGTCCCATTATGTATAGAGGACAGCTCTAATTCTGCTGAAACAAGAGTAAATTTAATTAAAGTTTCTGATAACAAACATAAGATGTATTAAGAAAGTGGTTGACAGTGTAAAATAGTTAACTAGTCTACTTGACATGGTGTATTTTAAATCCAAACAAGAAAACTATAAAACTATAAATTTGTTTAAAAATTTTAAAAAAATTGATTTCTCCTTACTTCATGTTTGTCCTTAAAAAAATGCGGTAAAGGACTCTTGACTTTTTAAGGATGGCTTAAAAATACAATTGTTAAATAATTCCAATGGACCAATAATTCCAAATATATATGGATAATATATAAAATTACATAGATTTATTGGTTAAATTAAAACTATTTATATACATGACTCAGAATGCTGAAAAAATAATTTAGTCTGATATGTTGACTATCAAAATACTAGATGACAAATATTAACCACAAATATTCTGATCATCAAGGTTTTAACATATCATGATTTGCCATACTTTGGAATGCTTTCATCTTCTTTAAAAGTATGGTTTTAATTTTATGGCATTAAAAGGCATTCCAGAATGATTATTTCATTGACTATTTTGAGAAACAGTTGTAAAGATGCAAATACAAAAATAAAATGTCTAACCACTATGTCTGGAGAAGTATATTAAGTACTGAGTATTGAAAATCATATATTGTTTGATATTGTAATATGTTTATTAAATACATATTGTAGTATGTTTCACTTGCCTTCCAATTAATTAATTAGGAATTAGTTGATATGATTTCAAATAAATAGGAAAATACACAGTTAATCTGTAAAGATAAATAAGAACTTTCTGAAAATGACAAAGTAATCGAAAAGCTAGGGACTTTGGAGCTAAGAAAAAAAATTCACTCCCAGCTCTGCAACTGTGAACTGGGGCCCTTGAGGAAGTTAGTTAATATCTCTAAGTCTGTCTCCTCTGTAAAATATGATATAAACAGCCAAGAAGCGGGACTTTGGGAGGTTTACATTGATAAACACACTTCCACGGCAGATGCACTATCTAAGCACCCAAAAAATGTTTGTGCCCTCTTAAATAATATTTTTTTGAAATAGGTGTCAAAGAAGAAGCAGAGTAATGGATGGGAAATAGAGAGTGATCAGACAAATAATCTATACAATAATGCATTGCTCATGTACATCTGTATTACAATCTAATCAACAGTAGAGTGGATCAATTGTGATATGTGCAATGGAATGGTATATCATAGTGGGAATGTACAATCTGTTATACAATACTTGAAAACTACGGATATATTTTATGAACTAATTATTGAGTAAAATAAGAGATACACAAAACAGTACATAGTGTGTGAATTTACCTAAAGTGCAAAAACAGGCAGAATTAATCTTTACAAATGTAGACAGTGTTCTCCCTTGTGGCTCGTAGTAACAGAATGGAGAACAGCAATGTTTTGCTGCTTTATCTGGGTGATGGCACCATACAGGTGTTTGGTTTATAGAAGTTCAAGCTATCTTCATAGTATATGCAAGCTCCTATAGGTATGTTATATTTCAATACAAATTTTAATATGGATAATTTGAATTTAAACACATATTTTCTTCCAACTTCCATGCACACCCCACTATGCCACCTATAATGAAAACAGATCAAACATTAACCTTGAAGGGTAAATTTGTTACTAGAGCAACATCCAAGGTCAGAAATGAACAGTTGGACGTTAAATCCAGGAAGAAATAATTGTGAAAAACTAAAGAAAAACAGGGTAGATCATTGCTCTTAAATGATATTTTCTATTAATCTTTGTCCTGCATATGGTGAGATTCTGGCTGCGTAGCTCTCTTCTTAGGTAGCGCTCTTGCAGTTTAAGGAATCAGGTCCCTAAACACTGGTTCTCAGTCTTGAATGCATCAGAATCACTTACGCTTGTCAAACCACAGATTGCTGGGCCCACTCCTAGAGTTTCTGTCTCAATGGGACAACAGAATTTGGATTTTTAATAACTTCCCAGGCTATGCTGATGCTGCTATGCTGAGCATGTACATTGAGACCCACTGTTTCAGGAAAAAAAAAAAAAAACTCAATCTTGAATCATATTAGGTAAGTTAGTCTCTGTATTTTCACCAATAAAGGAAGAATAACACCAACTACTGTTGTGTGTTAAGAATAAAAGATATAAGGATTAAGCGTGTACAAGTAAAGACTTTGGCACAAAATACATGCAGTTTAAATAATTAGCTGTTTTTATTTTTATTTCTAATGTTTCCCTTTTCTGAAATCTGGAAAGTCTTCAATGGGTGGAAGAGATCAGTTCACTTAAATTCAATGGTCTTCAACCCTAGCTGCACATTATCTCCTGGGGAGTTTGTAAAACTCCAAAGCTGGGGCTATACCTCAGGCCAATTAAATCAGAGTTTCTGCAGGAGAGGGCCTCAGCATAAACAATTTGTAAAACTCTCCAGATGATTCTAATGCCATAGCCAAGAGTGAGAATGACTGCTTGCCTTATTTATTTATTTATCTATTTCTTTATTTAATTTTTTTTTTTGAGACAGAGTCTTGCCCTGTCACTCAGGCTGGAGTGCAGTAGTCAATCTCAGCTCACTAAAATCTCTGCCTCCTGGGTTCAAGTGATTCTCCTCCTCAGCCTCCAAAGTAGCTGGGACTGCAGGTGTGTGCCACCACACCCAACTAAATTTTTTGTATTTTTTGTGGAGATGGCATTTCACCATGTTGGCCAGGCTGGTCTCAAACTCCTGTTTTTCTATTCATTTTTAGCTGTCTGCTCTTCAAAGCCCAGCATATGATTCTTCTCTAACATGATTACCCTGAGTAAAAGTTTTCCTTATTCTTTGAAACTACCATATATATGATACATAACATGATGTTGTATGCTGTGGATATAAATGTTTGTGTCATATCACCTCTTCCTGGTTATAAATTTCTTGAAGGAGGTAATTCAATTTATGTGAGCATACCCACAAATACACCCTATAATATACAGCCCAGCAATTGCACCTGGGACATAATTAATAAATAAAATGAATAAATAAATGAAATGATATAAAATGGTGAAATAAAGTTTCTAAAATTTATTTAAATGCTAGCATTCTTTCACCTCCAGTTATTTTGTCATAAAGTATCTTTATTGTTCCTTGATAAGAAAAAAAAGACCATAAGAATATGAAGACTGGTCCATAATTATGTTTATATTGTTAATTATATTTTTAAAAGTTTGTGCCCTATTTTGTCCAAATACTCAAAGTTAACCTAGTTTTATGTTCCTTATTCCACATTTTAAAAACATAAACCTAAATTACACAAAGTTACTATTTAAAAATAAGATGAAAAAGCAGTTTCAGTTTCTGTGTTTAGAGAATGGTTATTGTGACACTATCAGGGATGATCTGGCATAACCTAAAACAGTTTTACTTTTCATAGACAGTTAACCAGCTTCCCTGAAAACAAATAGTAAAAATTGTTCTTCTAGATAGAAATCAACTGACTTGGACAAGAATACAAAAGTTCTCAAACTAATTTCACTAGTTTATTTAATAATTGATCATTTTTTACTACTTTTAACTATTTTCATTCACTAATCTTTAAAAACTGTATCAGATTTGCATAAAACTATAAATGTGGAAATGCATACTTAAATCTTTTTACCTCTTTCCAGTACCTTGTTCGGGGTAAAAGATTTCAATGATCTTGCATAATCCATACACTTAATAAAATAAATTGAAACTGAATTAAAAAAAAAAAAAAAAACTTTTGCCACCAGGCATGTTGGCTCACACTTGCAAGGCTGAAGCGGGTGGATCCCCTGAGGTCAGGAGTTCAAATCCAGCCTGACCAACATGGTGAAACTTTATCTCTACTAAAAACACAAAACTAGCTGGGCGTGGTGGTGCATGCCTGTAATCCCAGCTACTCAGGAGGCTGAGGCAAGAGAATCACTTGAACCTGGGAGGTGGAGGTTGCAGTGAGCAGAGATCGTGCATTGTACTACAGCCTGGGCAACAAGAGTGAAACTCTCGGCCTCCCTCCCACCGGAAAAAAAAAAAATTTGCCTTATTTTAGGACTTTTTAAAAAATTACAGCTTTTTCAAGTTAAAATCTTTTATTTTGACATAATTATTTTTACATGCCATTATAATAAATAATACTGAGAGATCACAGGTGTTCTTCACCCAGTTTTCCCCACCGATACTATCTTATAAAACTATAAGAAATCCTGGTCAAGTAAACAACCAGGTCAAGAAAACAACAAGGACATTGACATTTATATAATTAAGATACAGAGCATTTCTATCTCCACAAAGATCCCTCTTGTTGTCCCATAAAACAAAAAAAGCTGCTCTCATTTCCCTCCTTTTCTCCTGGAAACTACTAATCTCTTCTTCATTTCTTTAATTTTGCCATTTTGAGAATGTTATATAGATGAAATCATACAAACAATCATATTTGGGACTGTTTTTTTTTCACTTGGCATAATTCCGAAGATTTATCCATGTTTCTGTCTACATTGAAAGCTTGTTCCTTTGTATTGCTGAATATTTATTACATGGGATGAATGGACCACAGTTTATCTAGCCATTCATCCTTTGAAGAACATCTGGGCTGTCTCAGTTTTTGGCTATTATAAATAAGGCTGCTGCAAATATTTGCATACAGGTTTTTGTGTGAATACTTTTATGTATCCGGGATAAATGACTTGAAGGAATTGTCCAGTGAAATTTAATTGCTGGGTCGGATGGTAGTATATGCTTAGTTTTTTTTTTAATGTTTAAATAAATGTTGGTTTATTTATGTGGTATAATTAGATTTCTTTTTTTTGGTTTTTATTTATTTATTTATTTATTTATTTTTATTATACTTTAAGTTCTAGGGTACATGTGCACAATGTGCAGGTTTGTTACATATGTATATATGTGCCATGTTGGTGTGCTGTACCCATTAACTCGTCATTTGCATTAGGTATATCTCCTAATGCTATCCCTCCCCACTCCCCCACCCCACAACATTTTCTTAATCCAGTCTATCATTGTTGGACTGTAAACTAGTTCAACCATTGTGGAAGACAGTGTGGCAATTCCTCAGGGATCCAGAACTAGAAATATCATTTGACCCAGCCATCCCATTACTGGGTATATACCCAAAGGAATACAAATAATGCTGCTATAAAGACACATGCACACATATGTTTATTGTGGCATAACTCACAATAGCAAAGACTTGGAACCAACCCAAATATATGCTTAGTTTTTTAAAAAACTATCAAAATATCTTCCAAAGTAGCTGTACCATTATACATTCCAACTGCAATGTATGAATGATCCAGTTTCTCTGCATGCTTGCCATCATTGGGTGTGGTCACTTAAAAAAAATTAACCATTCTGATAGATTCGTAGTGATATTCTATTGTAGTTTCAATTTGCATTTACCTATTGGCTAGTAATGTTAAAATATTTTCATGTACTTATTGCCATCTGTAAATCTTCAGTGAAATGTCTCTTCATGTCTGGGCCCACTTTCTGATTGTATAGTTGTGTTTTTGTTATAGTTGTTGTTTTTAACCGTTCATTTTTAAGAATTCTTTATATATGAATGTTGATCCTTTGTCACACATGGGAATTTCAAATATTTTCTTCTAGACTGTAACTTGTATTTTTAGCCTGAAAACAGGGTCTATCATGGAACAATAGTTTATCCTCCTTTGGACTGTGCTTTTGGTATACAGTTTAAGAAATTTTTCCCTAGCCTTAAATCCCAAACATTTTTTTCTAAAAGTTTTATAGATTTATACTTTACATTTAAAAGCATGATCCATTCTGAGTTTGTATAAGGTGTGTGGCTTAAGCCAATATGATGTTTTTGTTTTTTGTGGGCTTTTTGTTTTTATTTTTTGCCTATGGATATCTGATTGTTCTGGCACTAGTTGTTGAAAAGACTGTCCTCCATTAAATTGCTTGTGCACCTTTGCCAACAATCTATTAGGCATAGTTGTGAGGGTCTATTTCTGGGTTCTCTCTTCTCTTTCATTGATCTATGTGTTTGTCCTACTGCCAGTTCCAGTCTTCATTACAATAGCTCCTGAAACCTGATTTTTTAAAAGTTCATGATCAGTTTAATATAGCAGACTTTTCAAGCTTAGATTTTTCAGATAATGTTATGTTAGAAACTTTTTAGCATAATATTTTAGTCTATAAATGTCAAGTATTTTTCTTACTATAACATATGACTTACAAAATCCCAATGAATAAAGATAACTCAAAGCAAAAGATAAGACAACAGGCCAACATCTATACTAGGAAAAGAGGCCTTTGACTAAAATCCCTCTGTCTTTTACAGCATAAATTACTTAAGTCAAAAAATATAACCTTAAAAATATAGCACATGTATATTCCAAAAGACTAAAGCCATCAAATAGCAGTTCTTTCGAACTGTGAAATTCCATGTGTTCAAAAGGCTTTCAAAGCATTATATGAGGCTTCCTGCCTTAAGTTCATAAATTTTTATTGTTCGTCTTAAAGCTCATAAACGTCCTTGAATGATTTCCAATCATTTATTCTTTACAGATACTAATCTGCTGAATTGGCTTTCCAACATTTACTTTGCTTTTTAATCGTGCAAATGATACCTAAGTACAAAACACTCAACAACCATACATATTGCTCTAATTGTGCTTTAGGGCTCACATGGAATAAGGAAACACTAATTTCAATTAGAACATTTTATTTGTTCAGAATTAATTGCTTGGCTTGCCCCATTTGCAAAATTTTCTACAACCCCAAGCTGACAATCAAATACCAGTAAAGAATCCCTTGACCATAATCAATGTTTTCAGCAGTTGCCTTCCCAATATACACATCTGAAGCTCTAGGCACAGCCACTAGGAAAGTCTCTAATCTGTACACACATGAAACACTCAAGTATATGGTAAGGCTTATCTTGAAACTTTCACAAGCCCGCATTTGTTGGATTTGCTAAACTCTGCCACATTCTCCTCTGCCAAGAGATGGACTTGGATCAGCACAGGCACTGGGCAAACTGTCCCAATTATTTGCTGTGCAGATATGGAAGATGTTTGGACATTATCTTCAAACATCTTTTGTGCAAAGTAGTCATTACTGTCCTCCGGTAGTTACTAGACATGCCAGATTTTGCTTAGGTGAGTTATAGCTGAGTAAAATTATGCATTGTCACCCCAATGCATCACAAAGAAAAGTATTCTCAAAGAAGATCACTCCTTTACCTGTTTGACATCATATGCCAGAAGGACATATTTTAAATCTGGTGAAACTGAATGTCTTGATGCTTTGAAGGTTACCTAGAAAAAGAAAAAAAAACCAGTTATATTTAAAAACTTCTTAACATGAATTTGGATGTATAAATGTAAAAAAAAATCAATTTTCATAGCACTATAAAATGGCATTCTCATTTCTTTTATATTGTATACATATTTGCATGTATGTATGTATGATTATTCAGATGAATATAAAAAGCTTAAAGAGGACATATTAGACATTTCAGTAAGAACAGGTTTGCTAATATATCTTTCTATATGTTATCTCTTAAAGAATATGTTAATATTTTTATTATTTAAAAAGTTCAAAGGCCTATTGAAATTCCTGAGTAACCAAAATGCTTTTATAATTTGCATGCTAGATTAATCAAAAGGAAAAGAAGTATTGACATTCTGTTTGTCATAATTTTCTGTCTCTGTGTTTTTGTATTCTTACTGGTTGAATGTTTATATTTAAAAAGATACTAACATTAAAGACAGACTCTCTTTAAAGGAAATCCCCAGGGTGAAACAGATTAAAACACAAATACAGAACATTGCATTTGATGTCAAACAAAAACTACTACACTGTACTTGACTAATTTTGAGCCTATAATCTAATAATTGAACAAATTTGAGGACAGAAGGAATTTAAACTACACAATGAAACAAATACATTCAAGGTAGAAAAAAGATTTCACTTGAAATAGAGATATTTGTCTAATTCACGTCTAAAGAGAGGGCAAGCACATTGAGTTGATGTGTGAAAAAACTCCAAAATAGAAACAAAAAAACACAAAATAAATAGTATAAAATTTTAAGCATAATAGATACTTTGCATGGTATTTGCAGAGAAATACGTGCATAAACAATTGTGCACACCTTATAGTTTCCATAAGACTGCTCTCTATAAAGTCCAGAAAAGTGTAAAGTCAGAGTTTCTTTGTTTTGTTTTTGTTTGTTTGTTTGTTTGTTTTACATAGGGACCCCAAAACACAATGGATAGGATAAGAAATTCAGACTAATCAATATTTGGCAAGTTTGGGTGGTATAATAAAATATATATTTGGTCTTTTCTCTGGTTCTTGGCACAGAGCTCCAAAAACCCTTGAAATTTCCTAAATGATAGAAATGTCTTTTGTTATTCATAGCAAACTTCTTTGCACTTTATTCGATTTCATGCTAATGCGACTGCAACATCAGAGGACTCTTTGTGAGGGGAGGCGTTAGCTTATAGTTTCAGGATTAAGCTGGTCATCAGATCACATCAATCATGCGATTACAAGTTTAGAAATTTCAGCCCCACTCTAAGATCTGGTAGGAGAGAAGAGCTGGAGATCAGAGTTCAGCAACTGGCCAGTGATTGAATAAATCATGCCTAAGTGATGAAACCTTGCTTAGAAACTCTGAATGATAAGGGTTGAGGGAACCATCTGGTTGGTAAACATATGGATGCATTGGGAGGGTGATGTACCCCAGTCCAAAGAGAAAGAGCCTCCTGTGCTGGGGACCCCTTCAGACATCACCCCATATATCTCTTCATCTAGCTGTTCATTTGTACCCTCTACAATAAACTGCTACTCATAAGAATAGCTCTTGTCCGAGCTCTTTGAGTCATTCTAAGAAATTCTCCAGCCTGAAAAGGGGTAATGAGAACCCTCACATTTGTAGCCAGGTTGGACATAATTCAGTACCATTGGGACCAGGGACTGGCAGCTGGCATCTGAGGTGAGGACAGACCAGGGGAATTGAGCTCCTTAACTGTGGGTGTACGCTAATTCCTGGTAATTAGTCTCCGTATTGAATTGAATTGTAGAGCACTCAATTGGTATCAGAGAATCATTTTTGGAATGACATAGGTTATTAATTCCTGAGCCAGATATGCAAGAGAATGGAATGGTCAGCGAGACATCACCATATGGCAATGCTAAGGTATGGGGGTTTACACCTATCTTGTACAATCTACATATAAGGCATTTTAGAAGAAGATAACAACATTCACTGGCAACAATTCATGTCAAGAATTTTGTTTTTTAGTTTTTAAAAGATCCATTTAAATAACCATGAAAATAACAACATTAGCAGCTACCACTGATCAGTCATCTACCATGTGGTCTGCAAGTTGTTAGGAACTTTGCAGTTATCAATGATTTTAAACAGTCTTCAGGGCAATACTATGATACGACCTAATTCTCTCTCTCATTACTTTATTGTATATTGAAATTTGATAGAAATTAACCTATGGGGAATTTGGGGTGACACTGGATACACAAAGTATCCAACATTATAGTATCAGGAGGTGTATTGTTTTTAAGGAAATGTTCAAGGGGACAGTATGAAATGGTACGCTGTTATGTAAAGACTGATAGGGCAATGTCATCATTCTTGTCCTACAGGGATTAGAAAATTCCAACGTTGCAGTTGTTACACCTTTCTCAAGGTCAGAGAGAAGCATACGTAACAAGACAATCCAGGAGGGCCTCTTTTCATAAGCCTTACATTATCTCACTAGCAGGAGGGTTTTTTTTTTTTTTTTTTTTTTTTTTGAGAGCTTCTCTGACTAAAGTCTGAATTAATTTGAAGGAAATCTCACCTCCCTCATCCTCATCCACCCTCATGTGATGTTCCTCACACAAATTAACTTCACGCTTTCACAGGTGCGTCTGTGCCTCCGGTAACAACGTCTTAGTATCTTTTACAGTTCCTACAATTACCCAGTCTGGCACTTTATTAATTATCCCTCTACTGCCTCAAGCTTATGCAGCACACAAACTGGGAAATTTTCCAAATATCTTTTCCGGGGCCCAAGCTGCTGAATCTTCTCTGAAATTAAAGAGTCGTGGGCAGGTCACTGATGCTGCAGAGAAACTTACTGATGATACACGAATAAGAAACGTATCTCGGCAGCTTAGTCAACACGCCAGAAGATGTTGGAAATCTTAGGTCAATCCCTCTTAGTGTATGCCTTTAATGTTATTATTTATTGCATTTGGGGTATTCTTTCTTTCAGCCACAGGAGACATCTTGGTCAACACTGATTCTAATTGTAGACATTAAATAGTTCTGGTTTAATTTCAACTTAATATGACTTCAAATTGTGGTTTGGGGAAGTTGATTATTGCCAATAATGCTATTACAGTACCTTCATATTTAACAACTTAATTACTATTGAAATGAAAGGATGCAAAAGTAATTTCCACATGTGTTCATTGCCATTACTCAGCAATGATGCCTGCCTGTCCAGTTTTCGACATCCAAAATAGTACAAAGGGCATAAAAATGCATGAATCCTGCCATCTATGTACATTCTGTTGAAGGCAAGCAAGATATGATAAACAGAGTAAAGCAAATATGCAGGTGATTAACTAGATGAATTAAGCAAGAAAGACAAGGTATGTGATCAAGTAGAGAAACAAATGTATGTTTTCCGGCAGCTTGGGAACATTTGGTGGTGCCTGTTTTGTACGTATCATTCCATTCAAGCGAATCTTATGTGTTGAACATTCACTGTACAACAAGCCCCCAGGCAGACACTGAAGGTGCTACAAAGTTGGGAAACCAAACCCACTAGGATGTTTCCCTTTCCATATTGTTCAGGATAAGATGCATGTCATGAACCTCGTTAGTCACTGGTAGAGCAAGGGTCCAAAACATGGTTGCTTGAAACCACTGGGTAAGCAGGGTAAGACTGAAGCTGTCTGTGTAAGAATCACAGAGAGGCGGAGTAATCAGACCGCCTATTTAAAAGAGCACAGTAGCTCCTCAGCTCCAGATACAATGTCCTATAGAAAAATACACAGTATTGCTAGTTTTCCATTTTTTTCAAAAAAGTTAGAAAGCAAAATTTAACTTATAATTTCATAATTTTAAAATTATGATTCAATCCTAAATATACTTGGGGGCCAGATTCTGTCTGGAGCCTACAAGCTTGCCAGTTTTGAATTACAACCTACAATATGAGAATAAACTTCAAAAAATGCACAAGTAGCTTAAAAACAATTCTTGGGAAGATGAGGGATGATTCCATAGATTACTGCTATTATGTATGAAGTATGCATTATTGTCAACATGAATATGCCAGTGCTTATTACTGTTTTCATAAGTGGTAAAACTGAAAGCCAAGAAAGAAGCAAAATCAGGTTTGAATTTAGAACTATTACCTTGGCAACTGGGTGAAAAACTAGTTAGATTTGATGACATCTCGAGTTCATGAGAGATGGTAAGAGGCTCATGACAATCCAAGAAAGCAATGTTACAAAGTTAAGGAAGAAGCAGAGGCAAAGAGTGAAAGGGACATGTACAGGGGAGATTGTGAATAAAATACAAAAAAAAAAAAATAAGGATTAGATTTGAAGATGGAGAAAGAAGAAAGTATACAGAATAACTCCAGGTTTTCAAGTTTTTATCATTGGGTGAATGTTGCTTTTGTAACATTCTCACTGGAGAAAATAAAGAAAAACAGGCATATTTTGAGGAAAGTTTTAGACATTCGAATTTTATATACATTATTGTTATCGCTCCTGAAGGATAGCCAATAGGAAATGTGCAGGATTTGTGGATAAAAAGCCTGGAGTTTAAGAGAGATGCCAGAAAGCCTCATCTTTTATCATTTATACAGAGTAATAGATGAAAGTTTATGTTCCACGTAAATCCATGCCCTCTAAAGAAAAGGAACAAGTTCCCCAAATGACATGCTCTACCGGGTGGGCCAGTAATCATGCAGTTATGAACATGGTGTACCATTGCTTGTATTCTTTAAATGTGCATGTTTTCTTTTTCTTGTACCTTTGTTCAACTTTCTCTACTTGCTATACCACCTTCACCTTTCCCTTTTCCTTACTCAAATTGTGTTTCTCTGAAGGATCATTCTAATTCTTCTCCTTTAAGCCTTCCCTGTCCTTCTTAGCTCAAGTGATTCATCTGACCTCACATGTATTTAATTACACGTGCAGTTCATCTAACCATTGATCACTGTTTCGTGATTGCACTTCTAGGTTGTTTGGAACTGCAATTTACATCTTTTATTGCCACGGTAATGTCCCTATTAAGAGGCCCCATTACAATGATTCACTTTTGTCAGAAACATTATAACTAGAGGTAGAAAATGAGATAATGATGGTATTCCAAGATGTCAGATATTAAAGATCATAGCAAGAAATCATTAAACACAAACTTAAATGTCAGAAGTGTCAGAAAACATAAAATATTCATTTGCATGACTTGAGACTGAGAAAAGACTGAGTGAAGGCAGAATGAGAGATGCAGTTACAATTAATACAAGTTGGTATAAAGGACTTGGTTGCCTTAACATTGAGAAACGGCAGAACCTTAGGAACTGTGTAGTAGGGATGTGTATTGTTCTAGACCTTGGAATAAGCTGGTAATAAAAATATCTAAAGACATCTCTATTTACAAAATTAAAAAAAAAAATCATGCTCCAGGAGCTTTGGCTGAATAATTCTGAAAGTATAGATGGGTACATTTTTAACAGATAGTGAATGATGGAGACAAAAATGTAAGTCTTCTTGGATCCTATGATATTTTCCCTGCTCCCTCAACCTCCAGCCCATCAAACTCCCTAAATATTCACACACATATCCTTTATGTTTTGTTTTGTTTTGTTTTTTGATGGAGTCTCGCACTGTCACCCGGGCTGGAGTGCAATGGCGCTATCTTGGCTCACTGCAACCTGTGCCTCCCAGGTTCATGCAGTTCTCCTGCCTCAGCCTCCCGAGTAGCTGGGACTACAGGTGCCCGCCACCACGCCCGGCTAATTTTTTGTATTTTTAGTAGAGACGGGGTTTCACTATGTTGGCCAGACTGGTCTCAAACTCCTGACCTCATGATCCACCTGCCTTGGCCTCCCAAAGTGCTGGGATTGCAGGCGTGAGCCATGACGCCCGGCCATCCTTTATGTTTAATTTATTTAGGGTATAACTTCCCTCACTACTCAATCTCATTATTAGTTTTTTGATACCTGACAAAAATATTTAGAAAAGCCATCTATCATTTTGGAAAGATGTTAATTTTGAAACATGTAATTAAGTATATATTATGAAAATGCTTCTTTCATAGTGCAGTCCATAAATGACCAAATTCCCTGGTTTGAGCATGAGGAAGGATTTTAGAAAGCCAGTGGACCATAAGTGGAGGAGAAGAGGGAAAAAGATTACGATCTAGTTGAAAAGAAGAAAAGGGAAATCAAGAGAAGCTGGGAAAGGAGGCAGCAGTCCCTAGAATGATGCAAAAGACACACTCTCTTTCACTGTCTGGATTTAAGAACAGAAAAGAAGCAAATAGCTTTTATAATTTAGCTGTAAACAAAGGCTTGATTGTTCTCTGTAGCTATAGCTGGCTATATATGCAGAAAATTTTAAAATCAATTTTTTTTACTGTGTATTTTTTCATGTTCTCTTTTCTTAGCTGACTAATTAATTATGATCATGCTTAAATTATATCTCTTTCCTGACATCTGCAATATCTATATTTTGTAAACATAATAGATGCTCTCTCTATATATATATTTTCTTGTTACCATGCATTTTGATATTGGAGTATTTAATAAAACAACCCAATGCAGAAAATGCCATGATACAACTACGTAATTTTTATGAGTATTGAATCAATACCTACTAATCCATATAGACTGACACACATATATTTTTATTGCTCAATAAATGTAAACAGCCAAAATAATATTCTATTCATTTACATCATAGGCCATACACTAAAACATTTAAAAAGCAATTTTTATTTTTCGCAGAAAGTGGAAATTAATGATCACTGAAATCTATTAATAACTTAAAAAAATAGGGCAGAAAAGGTGAATTTGAGAGTCATGCCAATATTTCTCTACCCAACACTTTAATAAATTGGAAAAGTTATGGGCTGATGAAAGAAGAAAAGAAATATTGTAACTTCCATATTTATGCAAATTATTTATGTGAAGTTCAGTTTGTGCTGGTCTAATGATTCTTCAAATTGTCTTAGTGCTTTATAATCATCCTATATCAAGTATATATATATTTTTAAATGGTGCTGTGACCTTCAAGCACAGCTGCATTAAAGAATACAGCATATAAAAGCTATGGAAGTCCTAAAAAATTTGACATTAGAATTTCGGTATGAGTTTTCCTCACCATGGCCTTATACAATGTGTGTAACATAATACTTACAAGATGAGTAGACCGGAGCTGCCCAGTAGAAAGTTACTTAATTTCATTCTTGTTCTGATAGCCCATCAGGCACATTTTACAGAGTATAATTTCATAAACAAAAATAATATAATTATTATTTTAAAACACGCATATTTTAAGTATTTCAATTAGTAATATGATTTTATTTCTAGTGTAAGAAAAATAATGGTTACCAAAAGCTTTGCAATTCCCATATTTACAAAAAGAAGGGAAACTATAATGTCCAATATTAAGTAAAAAAACTTTTTTTACCATGGCTGAATTTTCTTTTTATGAAATAGAAACAGAAAAATAGTAGTGCTTCAAAGACTAAATCTTCTTGACAGCTGATGGTTCAAAGGCTCATTTTAGGTTTATATAACATCATTAATTTAGCATTATAATTAATAATTCCAAAAAATAGGAGAAAACATAGGTTAACAAATAAAAAAGATATTTAATTGTGCCAGATTTGATATATTCATATATATTCCTCAGTGATACCATATTTGATATTGCTACAGTTTCGATGTTTGACTCCTTCAAACCTCATATCGAAATTTGATCCCCAGTGTTGGAGGTGGGGCTCTAATGATAGGTGTTTAGGTCATGGGACAGGCTTCCTCATGAATGGCTTGGTGCCATTTTTATCATACTGAGTTCTTACTCTATTAGTTCTCATGAGAGCTGGTTGTTAAAAAGAGCCTGGCACGTCCTCTCTCTTTTTCTTGCTTCCTTTCTCACCATGTTATCTCTGCACATGCAGGCTGCCCTTTACCTTCCACTATGAATAAAGCAACTTGAAGCCCTCACCAGAAGCAGATGCCAGGGCCATGCTTTTCGCACAGTCTACAGAATCACTAGCCAAATAAACATCTTTTACGTAAATTACCCAGCCTCAGATATTCCTTTACAGCAATACAAAATGAACTAGTAGATAAGACAGATATCTATTTAGCAGATAAGACAAATATGAATTAATAGATAAGACAGATATCTACTCTATCCTTATCATTTTCTCTCTTGAATTGGATTAATTGCAGCTTTTGTCTCTTCACGTATTGTCAATCGTGATAGATTTAGCAATTACAAATTTAATTCCCAATTAAATTTAAATGTAAGATAAACAATAAATATATGGTAATATATGTAAAGAATGGCATATCATATAACCAAGAGAATGACATAAATAGAATATCTTGTAGTTATAAAATAACTGGACTACAGGTTAAATGCAAATATGCATGAATCAGTAACAAAATGCTGAGTGATAAAGGGAAGTATAAGATGATCATGGACTACCTGATGCCTCTTTCAAAAGTTCAAGACCAACTAAGATTAAATTATACATCATATAGGCAAACATATATATATGTATCAAAGCAAACTGAGTTAGACATTAACCAGAAACCCAAGGATATAAATAATTTACATAGTGAATTAATTTAAAAGTTGGGTTTTCATTTACTAAACTTGCACTTTAATTCTCCAAGGTTGAAAGCCATGCATTCTACAGGTCATTTTATCAGAAATATCCATTAATAGCTCCTAAGCACAGTTGAGGAGACCAGTGGTTGTTTGCAACTATGACTGAATAAACCTCCCTGTTCCTGTTTCCTGAAATACACGTGCAATTGCTTCCTTATGGTATATACCTAGGAAGGAATTTTTAGATTACAGGGCATGTGAAAGTTATACTTCACACAATAATGACAAAATTTTACCCAAAGTAAAAACACAAATGACATTCCTGCTATCAAGGAGTAAGAGGCTCTATTATTCCACAGTCTTTCCAATACATGGTAACATCAGGGTTAATCTTTGCCAATAGGATATGTGAAAAATACTATCTTCTTGTTGATAAATATTCCTGTTTGTGAATTATGTTAAGCAGCTTTTAAATTTATCAACAATATTTTTTGATAAAAAGTCCATTTATATTTTTTGTTCATTTTCAATTGATTTGGAAGAGTTTTTACATATTAATTACATTAACATTCTCTAAGTTAACTAAGAGTTTTCATTATGTCTTCATAATTTACAACTTAGCATATTGGTATGCTAAAATATCTCCATCCTCTAATTTTAACATGAAATTATAACAGATACAGGATGCAAGCAACAAAAAATATAAGGATCTGACCATTAAGAAGATTCTGAATGTGCAATTCACTTGGAAAAAAAAAAAAAAAACAAAGAATAACAAGGCTCAGGTTTTCAGCTTAGAATATCAATATTTCTTGAATATATTAACCGATGTAACATTATACCTCCTGTTCGGGACTCCTAATAATAGATTGATTTGCTGTTTCCTGTTTATTTGTCAGTATCCTTTTGATAAGCAGAGATATCATAAATGACCCTTCCATGCCAAAGCAAATAACAAAAATAAAGGAAAAGAATAATTTTAGATTTACATCCCTGGTGGCACTTTCTGCTTAGTTGGGGAAAGAAAGAAGGCCTATAAAATCAAGTCCAATTTAGTGACAATGACAATAAGAAACAATCAAGAGCTGCCTCCAGATTCAATGTCTTGAGCAAAATCTCAAGCTCTGAAGTAAGAACCGGGTTCTATTTTACTGTCTCCCAAGAACATCTGCAAACACTGCTGATCTCCTCAACTGTGCTTAGGAGCTGAGGCAGACATTCACTAGTTGAGTTGTCATGCACTAAACTTGCATTTTTATGGCCCAAATCCAAAAGCCTTTTCTTGTATTGTCCACTTTCTCAGAAATGTTCACCAATAGCTTCAATTTTTTTGTGAAGTGTGTAGAATGCTAAGATAAATCAGTTTTATGCATGTTTTTCAATGTCCAAATAGAGGCTGAATTAATCCTAAGGCTGGAAGAAGGTGTTCAGTGTGTGTGTTTATTTTTTCATTATTCATTTTATTTCATTTTAAAAACTGAAGGAAAATTTAAGGGTAATATTTCCAACTCTTATAGGGTAGATGATTCCTCCAATTTTATTAAACAGGTGTTTATAACTGAATGAGTTAATTATAGACATTTACTCACAACTGTTCCCATTGTTCTCTCTTCCTTTACATTCATTCATTTCTTCTTTCAGGCCAGTTTCAACAGATAAAGGTTTATTAAGATATGTGAAACACAGAACATCCTTTCAGTGGACTTTACAGATATTAATGAATGAATAATTCCAGTTAGATTAAGACTAAGTACAAATATTTTTTTAAAATGTTCCTGCCATGAGTGTCATTTGCAAAGTCCCAATATGAAAGACTTATGCACAGGAATTCAAACACCAGAAAACAACAATGGCCAATGCACATATAAAAAGATGATTCTCAACCTCTCTCATAATTAAATCATTGTAAATCAACATAAGGATTAAATTCTATCTTTTATCAGCCAAATTGAAAATAACTAAAAGGTTGAACAATACCCAACAACAGGAAGAGTGGACTAACAGAGAGTATCATACACTATTGGTGGGTTTGATTAATGAAATTTGATATTATCTAATAAATTGCAATATAAACTTTCTTTGACTCACCAATACACTGGAATATATTTAGCCTACATATATATTTGAAATATGCCTGCTTTGCTGTTTGTTTATGTTTGTTTTGGAGCAGTAATGTAATAGAAAAATATTTAAACCAGTGGTAATACATCATACAAGAACACTTTATGGTGCTATTACACAATTTTTTTTGTTTTAAAAAAGTTCATATAAAAAGCTCTTCAAGATACATTAAGTGGATAAAAAGTATAGACCATATGTACTGTTGAAATTAAATATAATGTAGACGTATACACTTACATATACACATACACACACATATAAATGTATATATTATAGAATATTATATTGTTTATGTATAGATCCATGAAGATATATACAAACATATTTCTGTAGAAGATTTTTGACAGATACAAATATTTACATGGCTTCATTCAAAAATGGGTACTGAGTTATGAAGGGGGAATTTTTTATGATATATACATCTGCAACAGTTCTATCTAACAGAAATTTCTGTGATGATGAAAATGTTTTATCTCTACGATGTACAATGTAGTAGCTGTTGGTTTCATTTAGCTATTGAAAACTTGTAATGTGGATAGTGTGACTGAAAGATGGAATTTTAAATTTTACATGATTTTAATTAATTAAAAATTAAGTAGCCACATGTATCTAATGAACTTCATATCAGATAGTGTAAATATTTATATTTTACAATATATGTTTTCATTATCTTGTTTTAAAAAATGTCACTGGAAAACCCTGAGAGTAATATTTAGATTATTAGACCATGTTTTATTAAAATTATAATTTAAAGTTACTATTTTAAGAGACACATATAAATAATGTATAGAGTGAGACATATCCAATATTTAAAAAGAAGGAAAACCATAAAGACTATAGAGAAGAAAAGGAGAAATATGTAGAAACAAGTTTTAAAAAATAATGACTCCAACCTTCTCGATTTGATAAAACATAATATATATACTTAAGAAGTTCAAAAAATTCCAAGTTTCTACTCAAAAAAATTCTGCTCAAAAAGATCCACACATAGATAGATCATAGTCAAGTTGACAAAACTTAGACAAAGAGAAATTAATGAAAACAGCACTAAAAACATAACATCACATACAAGGAACCCTCAATTATAATAACAGCTGACTTTTCATAAGAAACCACAGAGGTCAGAAGAGATTTAGGTTGACGTCTTCAAAGTATTAAAAGAAAAAGCTTGTCAACAAAGAATTCTATATCGAGCTAAACTTTCTCTCATAAAGGAAGGAGAAGTTGTCATTTCTAAATAAACAAAACCTGAGAGCATTTGTTACTTTTAGCCCCGCTCTAAGGAAACACTAAAGGAAGAAGTCCTTCAGGCTGAAATGAAATGACAATAAATAGTCACTTGAAACCACATGAAGACACAAAATGACCTAGTAAAAGTATCCACACAGTTATTATGAAAGAAAACATAAACACATTTGCTTGTAACTCCTTTCTTATCCTACTTGTTTTAGAACATAGCTGCATAAAAACAATTATTATAAAAGCGTGTTGATTGGGTTATAACATATAAAGATATAACTTGTATGAAAATTACAGTACAAAGGGGTGAAAAACATGAAATGAAGTTGGAATAATGTTTGTATGCCATTGAAATTAAATTAGTATTTTATCTGAACAAATTTTTTCTAAATTAAGATGCTAGTTGTAAATTACAAGGCAATGGCTAAATAAATAACACAAAAAATAGTAAAAAGGAACAATAGCAAATATAAAAGATACAGCAGAAAATATCTAACAAAAAAGGAGTGAGAAATCCAAGAATGGAGAAACAAAAATGACATATGATATGTAGAAAACAAATATTATTAAATAAATGGCCAATATATGTTCTACCTTATTAATAATTGCATTAAATGAAAATAAACACATGAATCAAAATGTGTAGGTTGACAGGATAAATTTTTTTAAAATAATTATATGCTGTATACAAAGGATATATTCTAAATTGAAGACACTAATAAGTTTAAAATAAAAAGGTGAAAAAGGTATACCATGAAACTGGTAAACAAAACAAGGATAGAATGGTTTCACTAACATCAAATGAAATACACTCTAAGGCAAAAATTCTTACTAGAGACAAAGATAAAAATTATGCAATAATAAAAGGGCCATTCTATCAGAAAAATAAAACAATTATAAATATGTATGCACATAATAATAGAGCTCACAAATATATGAAGCAAAAATTTATAGAATTGAAAGGGAAAATAAACAATTTAATAATAAATAGTTGGAGACTTCAAAACCTTGATTTCAGCAATGGATAGAACCAGTAGGCAGAACATCAGTAATAAAATAGAAGACAAACAACATTCTAAAGCAAAAAGATCTTACAGACAGAAATGCTAGCAGAAAATACACACATACTTATGAGGTTTGCATGAAATATTTTCTAGGTGAGATCATATGTTAGGCCACAAAACATGTTTCAATGAATGGAAAAGTATTGAAATTATAAAAAGTATGTTATTTGACCCAAATGAAATTATATTAAAAATCAATAATGGAAGGCAATTTGGGAAATTCACAAATATATAGATACTAAACAACAGTTACCTAAATAACCAATGAATCAAGAAATAAATAACAACAGAAATAATAAAATGCTTTGAGAAGAATGAAAATGAAAACACAAAATACAAAAATTTATGATATATAGTAAAGAAGAACTTACAGGGAAATTATTAGCTGTAAAAATCTATATTAGGAACGAAATAGAGTGAGAAAGTAAAGAGGAAAAAAAGAAAGAAGAAAAGAAAAGAAAGGAAGAAAGAAAGAAAAAGCCAGAGGCCAGGTGCAGTGGCTCATATCTGTAATCTTAGGCCATGTGCGGTGGCTCATGTCTGTAATCCTCCCTTTGGGAGGCCTAGGTGGGAGGATTGCTTGGGGTAAGTTGTTCACAACCAGCCTGGGCAAAATAGTATGACACAATCTAACAAAAAATTAAAAATTTAGCTAGACATGGTGGCTCATGCCTGAAGTCCCAGCTTCTCAGGAGGCTCAGGTGGGAAGGTTGCTTAAGCCTGGGAGATTGGGGCTACAGTGAGCCATGATCACAACACTGCACTCCAGCCTGGGCAACAGAGTGAGACTTTGTCAAAAAGAAAGAAAAATAGAAGAGAAGAAAAGAAAGGGAGGGAGACAGGAAGGAAGGAAAGAGGGGAGGGAGTGGGGAAGGGAGGGAGGAAGTCTTGTGTGGTGGCTCACACCTGTAATCCCAACACTTTGGCAGACCAAGACAGGAGGATCACTTGAGCCCAGAAGGTCAAGATCAGCCTAGGAAACATAGTGAGACCACAGTGTGACAAAACTTTTTTTAAAAAAATTAGCTGGGAATGGTGGCACACATCTGTAGTGCAGATACTCAGGAGGCTGAGGTGGGAGGATCACTTGAGCCTGGGAGGTTGAGGCTGCAGTGAGATATGATTGTACCACTACACTCCAGACTAGGTAACAGAGTGAGACCCTGTGTCAAAAAAAAAAAAAAGAAGAAGAAGAAGAAGAAGAAGAAGAAGAAAGAAGAAAAAAGGGCAAGAAGAAAATACATATCTCAAATTAATAGCTTAAACTTCTACCTAAAGAAGTCAGGAAAAAAACAAGGAAACTAACACAAGCAAGCAGAAGGAAGGAAATAAAAAAGCTTAGGTGGAAATAAGTTACATCTAGGCTAAAAAAACAATGGAGAAAATGAATAAGGCTGAGAGTTTCTTCCTTGAAAAGAAAAATAAAATTGGCAAGCCTCTAGATAGATGGATGAGAAAAAATAACAAGATTCAAATTACTAAAATCAGGCATGAAAGAAGAGGCATCAGTATCAACCTTACAGAAATGAACATGTAACAGAATACTATAAAATTGCTTATCAACAAATTCAGTTATTTAGATCAAAACAAGAAGTCTTAGAAAGACATAAATTTCAGAAGTAATATATATTTGGAATAGGCTTATAACATGTAAAAGGATTGATGAAATAAATTTAAAACTTCCTGTGAAAAAGAAGCCTAGGCCATAATGGTATCATCAGTGAGTTCCATGAAACATTAAAAAAAATCCTTCATAAACTTTTCCAAAAAATAAAAGGAAGAAACAATTTGCTACTTATTCTATTAGGCTAGTATTATCTTGATATCAAAACCAGACAAAGACATAGTTGGAAAAAGCTACAGACTGATAACCCCTTATGAGTATAAAGAGCCTGGACTACTAAACAAATACAGCAATGTGGCAGGATAAGCATTCAACACACAAAAATCATTACATTTCTATACACTAGCTGCAAACAATTTAAAGATGAAATGGAGTAAACAATTCTATTTATAATGGCCACAAAAGCAATAAAATACCTAGTAACAAATTCAACAATAAAAGTATGATTTTTAGATGGAAAAATATAACACATTCTTTTAAGAAACTGAATAATATCTAAATAAATTAAAAGACATTGTATGTCTACAGATCAGAACCTTGTTAGTGTAGCACTATTTTTCAAATTGATCTACATAAGCAATATAATCACCATCAAAAGTCTTAGCTTCTTTTGACTTTGTTTGCAAATTTTACGAGTTGATCTTAAAATTCATATGGAAATGTAAGGGACACAGAAATCCAATTTTGAAAAAGAGCAAAGTTCAAGGGCTCACACATCTTGATTACAAGTCTCACCACATAGCTACAACAGTCAAGACTGAACTTCTGGCCTAAGGATAAACATATAGATTAATAGAATACAGAGTCCCAAGACAAAATCATATATTTGTGGTCAGCTGACATTTGAGAAGGGTGCCAAAATTATTCAACAGAAAAAAAAATCTTTTCAAAAATGTTACATGGATAATTGTATTTCCACATGCAAAAGAATAAATGTGGACCTCTTTCCTCACATCATATTAAAAAATCCACTCAAAATGTATCATAGAACTAAACATAGAAATAAAAATCTATTATGTTCTCAAACACACAAAAAGAAGTTAGTCTAAATTAACAATGTATAGAAAACTAAAGAAAAAATAGATTTGACTTTATCAACATTTAAATCTGGTGCATCAAAAGACACCAATCAGAAAGTGAAAGACAACATACCTGGGAGAAAACATTTGAAACTTATGTATCTGACAAGGAATTTGATTTATAATATATGAAAAAATCTTACAATTCAGCAATTGAAAAGAGCTCAATAAAAAATGGGCAAAGAATTTGAACAGACATTTCTCCAACAAAGATATACAAATGATCAATAAGCACAAGAAAAGATCCTCAATATCATCAATAAATTAAGGGAATACAAATAAATGCCATGGCAAGATATTACTTCACACCCACTAAAATGGCTAAAATCAAATAGGTAAGAACCTGTTTTGTAGAGATGTGAATTAATCAAGCCCCTCTTATACCATTGCTAGGAAGGCAAATCCATGCAACCACCTTAGAAGTTCCTCAAACTGCTAATACAGAATTACCATATGATCCACAACTCTGCTCCTTCTTTTTAAGAAGTGGAGACTACCTTTGTTTTGTTTTGTTTTGTTTTGTGTTCTTTTGTTTTATTTTGTTTTTGAGACAGAGTCTTGCTCTGTCGTCCAGGCTGGAGTGCAGTGGCGCAATCTCAGCTCACTGTAACCTCCACCTAGGAGTGGAGACTATTTTTAACTTAAAGGTTCATTTTTCACATTTGAATCAAGAAATGTGACACCCTAAATACTGTTTGATAGATTTCCCCACTTAGTTACTAAATGCCGTTTAACAGATATTTTCATCCAACCATACGCTCAAACCTGGTTCTCACCCAGAATTCCCCATCTCAATGGTTAACTCCCCTTTCATTTAAGTCATACAACCAAAATCTCAAGAATTATCCCTGATACATCATTCTAACCGCCATCACCAACCACTACATTCTTATTTTGTTACTTTCTTTTTATTTTACTTATTATTATCGTCCAAATCTTTCTCTTCTCTGCTGGCACTGCCTAAGTCCATTTGCTTATAATCTCAAGCCTAGGCCATCCACTAGTGTCTTTATTTGTCCTTTCTTGAGCCACAACTTTCAATTTTAACTTACTTTCTCACTTCAACGGGAATATATTTGTTTCCAAAAGCAAATCTGATCATTTTTGAAAATTTAGCACCATGACCCGCATGATCTGGCCACTACTTAATTCTCCAACCTGTTTCCCCCTTCCTTGTGCTGCTCCCACTACCATGGCATTCTTTGTTTCTAATACTCCATGCCTCATGCCTGTCCCACTATGCTCAAGCCATATTCTTGCTTAGTCAACTTATCTGCAGTCATCTTCATTTCTTATTTATTTATTTACTTAGAGATGAAGTCTCGCTCTGTTGCCAGGCTGTAGTGCAGTGGCGCTATCTCAGCTCACTGCAACCTCCGCCTCCCAAGTTCAAGCAATTCTCCTGCCTCAGCCTCCTGAGTAGCTGGGACTAGAAGCACATGCCACCACACTCAGCTAATTTTTGTATTTTTAGTAGAGATGGGGTTTCGCCATGTTGGCCAGGATGGTCTTAATCTCTTGACCTTGTGATCCACCTGCCTCAGGCTCCCAAAGTGCTGGGATTACAGGCGTGAGCCATTGAGCCCGGCTCATCTTCATTTCTTTAGGAAAGCTTTCCGTGACTTATTTAAAACAGATACAGCCAATGCATTAGAAATTCTGACATGGATATTAAGCAATAAAAGTAAAAGCAATATTTAACTTTCATTCTTATATTCCTATACTTTGCAGTTATTCTATGTCATAAATTGTAAATGTTTATATATCTAATTATTTGATTAGTGCATATCTCCCTTAATACATAATGAGATCCTTACGGCAGGAGCTCTCCTGTTTTCCTTATGGCAGGAGCTCTCCTATTTTCTCTCCTATTTTCTATTGTATCTTCAGCTGTAGTTGTAGTTGGGACAGAAAAAGCATATAAAATATTATGGAGTCATTGAATCAAATAATCATAGGCAATATAATATATTTTAAGCCCCAAGAGACAATGGATTGCATGTCTATGTTCTATTTATTATAAATTTGTTAATTTTATTTCAAGATTTTTTCAACCAGGCTTCTAAAAATTCCTCTGTTATACTGTTATACACAGAAAACATGCATAAACATGTACATATAAGACCTAACCATGAAATAGATTCCATTGTCAAAAATTGTGGCAAAATATTCAAAATAGAATTACCCATTTAATGACATTTAAAACCTCAGAGATGATGCTGATTCCTCTATTTCCAACAAGTTGAAGGTAATTAACCAACAAAGCCCTACCCATTTTATCTCCAAGCAAATCCTCCACCCACCTACTTTTTACCTTCTCCAATAGCATCCCTGTACATAGTTCACACCCTGCATCTTCTCCTACTTGTACCACTGCAATAGCCTTCAGAATGGTCTCTCAGTTTCTACTTTAATATCCCTAGAAAATGCTCTCCATATAATTGACAGAGTGTACTTTTAAAATATGACTTAGGTATTGCCACTTTCTTTCTTCAGAGTGTACCTACTGCTCACAAAATAAAACCTTGACCTACAAAACTCAGTATAAATCTTTCCCCTAGTTATCTCATTGAGTTCATCTTGTACCATTCTCTACCCATGTCCACCACTTACATATTTTCTGTTCTTGGAATAGATCTATATAGTTTGAACCCTATGTTGTTTGTAATTACTGGCCTTGCAACCTACACAACTCTTCAATTTGACCTTGAAATGTTATCTCCGTAGTGAGCCTTTCCTAAGCAACTAATCATTCTCTAGACCTCACCCTATGTTATTTTTCAACAAGGATTTAAATTTACTAGCTGACATTTTCTTGTATTTTCAATGAATTACTCATTTATTGTCAGTCTGACAAACTTGTCTTGCTCTCCATTGTATCCCCAGAATCTGGAATATTATCTGACACACAACAGGGATCCAAACAACACTTGGCAAATAAATTAATAAAGTAATAAGGCATAATGAGTCATTTCAACAATGATGCAGAAACATCATAAAGATGGAGAAGTAGAAAAATCTCTACAAGTTTTTAAGACACAGAAGAAATTCAAATATAAACTAGATTATTTCAGCCAGATATATCAGGGGAAAGAAGAGAAGTAGAGTAGTAGTTCATAATAATAGGTGCTGCTTGCTTGGTGGGGTGTGTGTGTCTGTGTGTGTGTGTGTGTGTGTGCGCGTGCGTGTGTGTGTAATGCAGCCAAGGTTGTTATCCTTTGTTCACGAGGCAATATTTCAACAATAATTGAAAACATTTGGATGGAAAGAATGATGACACAGGTTATAGTCATCACAATATTTAAAATATGTTAAAAACAAATATGATGACTTCAGACAAGTTAAGGCAAACAAAGCTATGTAAACCACACTCACAGTTTTCCTCTTTTCCACTCACTATATAATGTTTCCTTACTGATTATCTGGTAGTAAAATGGATAGACTGGTTGATTGATTGATAGATATAGATAGATCAATATCTGCATAGATAGATCTATACATAGATATCTATTCTATCTGTATTATGTGAACATATGAATAAATACATACAAACATACATATATTTAATTCAAGCATCTTTCCTAAAAGGTTTAAGTAAAAATTCCACAAATAAACATAGATTTTTATATATATAAAAAACTAAAGGATCATTATTTATTTTCACATTTCTTTAAAAGGTATTTTGAATGGAATTCTCAGCTAGTAATATTAAAAACAACAATGGATTAGGAGTCAAGAAATGTTTTCCTTAGTCTCAAGACTACACTAGATTTATTGAGCAAGTCTCTTTATTTCTCTGGGTCTCAGTTGATTTTTTACTTTTTTAAATTTCAACTGAAGTAGGAGACAGGGAAAATGCTTTCTAGCTCTATAATGAGCTGTCATTATCATTTAATGTTTACCAAAAATTGAACTTCCTTGAATGCTCACGCATGTTTCACAAGCAAACTAAAATACTAATTTAATATATTTCCAATATACTATTAAAATATCTGTATTATGTAATGTGAAGTGTGGAAGGGCTGCAGAAGTTTTGGCAACGCATAGTTCTACATCATCAAAGCTGTGTAGACTGAAGTATTCTGAAAGATCAAAAGAAGGGAAAAATTATTTTTATATCATCAACTTCCAAAGCTTGAAAAGTTTCTCGAAAATGTATTTTGTTTGCTTAAGTTCCATCATAAAGTAATAAAACACTGAGTGTTTTATTATTTTATTTGTATTAATAATTTTAGTTTATAAACTATAATTGTATATATTTATGGGGTAAAATGTGATGTTCTGATATATATGGAAGAATACACAATGTGGAATGATTAAAGCAAGCTAATTAACATATTCATCAGCTCCCATACCCATCTTTTTGTAGTAAGACATTTGAAATTTACTCTCAGTAATTTTGAAATACACAATACATTATTCTTAACTCTGGTTGCCCTGTTGTGTTTCTCTAAAGCTTATTATTCCTTCTGTCTGACACTTTGTATCCTTTGGCCAGTATTTTTAAAAATTTCTAATTGGCTTTCTATGACTGGGAGACAGCAATATATAAAATTATTCAGCAAGAAAATGAAGGGCAGAAATATCCATCAAATGTTTAAACTAGAGCCTCGACTTGCTCAAGATGGACTGACTGATTCTGGATACACGTCAGAGAGCTGACCTCTCAGGAAGCCAAATTCCAAAACAATCGCAAACAGTTGTTATAAATCTAGCTGCCTGTTGGTTTCCAGCATCCTGTCTGACACCTCCAGCTCCAAAGAGACTAAATAAGAATCTTCTAAAAAAATCAACACTGGAATTGTAATCCTTTTATCACATATATCTAATAGGCTCTGTCAGACAAGATTGAACCAAGCTCTAGTTCATATAATTAAACAAGTGTCATCTAATTAATTTTTGTCATAATTGTATTCCTATCTGAAGGAAACAATTTAGTTATATTATTTTTAATATTATTTTTATATTACTCAGATAATTTTATTTATATATTACTTAGATAACTTTGTTTATAAGGATGACTTACTCATTTAACAATATGCATAATAAATGGCTATGAATGTGGATTTATTAGTAACACTATGATTATTGACAATAAAATGGTCCTACCATCTGAGATACTTTGTCCTCATGAATAAATTAGTTAGTAGAATCTAATTTCTAGATCCTTCATAATGGTAATTGAGGGTAAAAAATAATAATGTAGTAGTCAATTTTAGCCCTTTAAACCTATGGGGAACTGTATGAATAACTGTTTGAAACTGCAGGGTAATCCTGTCACACTTGCAAACACATAGAAGCAACAAGACTATTTCCTCTCACACTTTTAATTAAAATAGTGCCTGAGTAGACTTCCAGGGTAAGGATCAGAAATTTTCTTTCTAATTTCCCTGTTTTAATGACCACTACTTTTAAAGCTATGCTGGAATTCACTTTCACATATATCTAACTTACAGAAAATTTTGAAGAGCCTAAATGTCTATGGTAGATTCAATGTTTCCTTCCCTAACTAAATATAGAAAGGTGTCCAATCTTTGCTGAAACATGTATTATTCCATTTGTTTCCCTGAATGTACATCAATGTTACATCCTATTTTGATGACTGAATTGGAAATATTCCAAATATTACCTAAATAATGTAAACAAACATAAATAATCATTTTTAAATAAATATTGTGGATATAATAAGTATCTAAATATTTTCATAGTGAATGATAAAAATAAGATAAATATGAAGGTATCTAGCAACAGGAAATGGTAACTGCTATAGCGAGGGGAAGGACATGCCCAAGCAAAAGATGATGAAATTCAATTATTCATAAGCACAATGCACCAATGAAAGCAATTATGCTGACTGGAGTCCCCAGTAGCCATCAGTTTTTATCCTCTATCTTAAAAAGGAACAACTGCTTCCTAGTAAAAAAAAAAAAAAAAAAAGTTGGCAATAGCCAAATAAGTGATACTAACTTATCTGAACAAAAAAGTCCCAATCAGAAGTATCATCCAAAAATTGTAAGAAAACTGGGTCACACTTTTATTTTATACTCAGCAATACACACAAGAGAGGAAGCCAAGGCCAAATGATCCTACTCATGCATGCTGGTCTTCTTTGCAGGGTTATTCAAAAGAAGAAAAGTACCTGAAACTAATGAACCTGGAAGCCACAGTTTAATATCTCCCTTAAAATTATCAATTTAAAAGTCATTACTTTGATCCCACCTCAGAAAATTACCTTCTAATTATCACAGGGTTTCTCTTGTATCTCTGTCTAGAACAGGGTTTCTCAAACTCTACACTCCTGACATTTCTGGTTGCGTTAAGTGTAGGATGCACATTTCTGACCTCTACTCACTAGATTCCCACAGCAAACCCCTCACATTCATTCAGGACAATCAAAAATGTCTCCAGAGCTGACAAATGTCTCCTGGGAGCAAAATCACCCCCAGTGGAGAAACACTGCTCTAGAGAAAGAAAGAAACAATACTGTCAAAACACAACATTGATATGCACAGCTTCACTGATTAATCAGTGTTAGTTACACTACTGATGTCTATCACTACTGGGATTCCAACAGATACTGAGTAGACCAAATCTTACAAATAATTAACAAATCATCCATTACTATTGGCCATTATGTGAGGCTACGTGGCCAATCGAATTTTCTGATAATCTTTCCTCATCTCAAATTTTATGAGGTACAATTGTCGGTGCCTTTGTTCAGTAATTCTTTATCTGTGCTACTGTGTTTGTTTTTGTTGTTGTTTCAATAGGGCACCTATTTACTCAAACACAAACTGAATAGTAAGTTTCTTGATTTCACAGCGGTACAGAGTTGGATCTATCACCTCCATATACCCAACAGCACAACAAATAAAACAACAAAGAAACCAAATGAAAAACACTAGGATGACATCGAAGCCAGCTGATGCTGTCTCTAGGCATTATAAATCAATGAATCTTCCTTGGTTCTTCCCAAACCTACTATTTTGTAATTGCCTATATATAAATAAACACTTAGACCAATGAATACGTAACTAACATTTTGCTTGGAATCATTCTGCTGCCATATATGAATTTCCTTCCTGTGTTATGGCTACTTTTTTAGTAGAATGTATTTAAATAGGCTTACAGAGTTTCAGAGATTTCAGATTAGAGTCTTATCTCTCAATTATTCCTTTTCATATTAATGCATAAGATATATATTCTAGGGGGCCAAGCTCTGTGACTCACTCTTATAAACCTAGTGCTTTGTGAGGCCACCAGAGGAGGATCACTTGAGGATATAGTTCAAGATGAACCTGGGCAACATAGTGAGACTCCATTTCTAAAAAAAAAAAAACTGTTTTAAAAAATTAGCCGAGCCTGGTGGCACACACCTGTGGTCCTAGCTACTCAGGAGGCTGAGGCAGAAGGTTCACTTGAGCCCAGGAGTTTAAAGACTGCAGTGAGCTATGATTGCACCACTGCATCCCAGCCTGGGCAAGAGAGCAAGAGCTTGTGTCTTAAAAAACAAAAAAGATACATATTTTTAAAATCTTAACTATACTTAAGCACATGGGGCTTGGACTTATGTTTACAACCCCCTTATAATTTCAAAAAGTGATTTGATAAAACAATTTATAGCTGCCGGTATTTTCAGCCGTGGTCACTGGTGATATTCAGATTATTGACAGCAGAAAGAGTACAGCTAATACTTAGGAAACAGTTTCCTCATTATGACATTGTGACTGAGCTTTTGTTTGAAATAGTTCTGGCTTTAAGAGATAACATTTCCAAACACTTAGAAATTATAAAGAGCATTTTTGAGGCTAAACCACTTACTTCCCATCCTCTAATTCAAAAGTTGTATGCCCTTTAATTTCCTCCTTTCATTAGAAATCCACCTACCTTCAATCCAAAAGAATGCCTTAACACAATTATTTCATTTTTAAAAAAGTATTTTTTATTTTGGCAACCATGCCCAATATTTATTTTAATCATAGAGTCTGCTAACCATGATTACATAACCAAAAGTACACACCAATCATATTTAAAATGTGTTTAAGCTGAAAAGTGATAAGATGTCAAACAAGATATCATAAGATAAATTAAGATGTCAAATTATCTTAATTTTAAAAATAAATTTGTAGTCATATTTTAGCATAATATGTCTTACTATAGAACAGGCCATTCTGTTATGACATTTTCATCAATAGTATATTTATTTTCTCAAATGACTTGTCATGCTTTCATTTCAAAGCTTTTTATACTGATCTGATCCAATTAATTATTATTATAATTAAGATATTGATAATTGCTCACAGAAAAACCAGCAATATGTTTCAATAAAATATATTTTTCAACAGAGTTTCCTGGAAGAGAAATTAAATCCCGGTTTTAGCCTAACGTTAGTATTAAAAACATAAGTGTATTAAATAATGCCATTTTGAAGTTAGGAGAGAATGATTAAACAAGCTCCTTTGAAATCATCTGGAATTATGGTAATTCCTATTTTTGTTCTCAGTTTTGGGTAACTGGTTGCAAACTGATGCCACCTTCCACTCCCCTAACCCCTGCCCGACATCGAATTTAGACACCTCTAGGACTTATAAATTGCTTAATTATCTGTGTTGTGACATAAATGTCCTTAGGGAGCATATGAATCTTAGAAGACAAGTAAATTAGAATATTTGCTAAATATGACCCTGTGGTAATTAAGAGTCACGGCTAATGTAGAGGAGAATAGAAAGAGACCTCAAAAGGATTTAAAAAGATATAACACAGAAACACAAAGATAAAACAGCAATAATTAGCACATGGAGAAAACCACAATGATATGAGATGGTGATGGTGTGTAGTACCAGCAAAAGAATTGAGATAATGGAATAATAATCTAAAAGTTCTGTTTGTTTTGGTTTCTTTTTTGATGTATCATGGAAGATAAAAAAGTAATGAATAAATAATGGAAAACCAAAACATAATTAGTGATGGGGGAAAACCTCACTGACTTGTGTAAATGAGTATTTAATGAGGCACAGCCACATAATAGAATAATTCATGTACTGAGTATATCTAACCTGAATGCTTGGCTACTGAGGGCCTAGAATCTCCATAAAATTATGTTACTTTATGAAGAAAAAGCAAAAATTAAAATGCACTCAATTTTTGTTCCCCAAACTAATTTTATTAAAAATCCATTCATTCTGACTTTAATCCATATATTATCATCATACCTTCTCATCATTATCAATTCTGGAATTCTGTCTCCTATCCTATCTTCTTACTAATGGCTAATTTTCCACTATTGACAGTATTTCTCAATGATTCTCTAGGCTTTTTTCTAGTATCCCTGAGGACCATCCACTGAAGAAATAGTAAACACTGCTGTATACTGTTTATTAAAATTCTCCGTAAGGGTTAGTATTATCTCCCAAAGGAAATCCACATTCTTAGACAGTAGGCAATCTGCTGTACATATCCTTGACATCCCACGAGTACCATAAAGAGTTGCACACAAAGTAACTATTCTTTGATTCCCTGTAATTAGTTTAAAACCAAAAATGTCATTATTTTTCTTCTGGCTGATGACCTTATTATTAATGTACATTAGTTGGCTGGTTAAATTTAGCCCAATGATATACATATATAATCACTTAATGATTGTAATGACCTTTTCTCCTTAATATGTAAAAATACTAAACAGAATATTCTTAGTCCATTTTTTCCATAGGGCCATTCCATAATAAATACGAAGATTAAACGTTTATTTTAAATGTACAAGTAGAATACATTTTTAAAAGTAGCCAACAATTTTGCTTATTTTTTTATTTTGTGGAGGTTTTCTGAGAGCTTGTACTATATTTTGTCTGTATTGTATACATTCATCTAATTGGCAGTCTATTGAAACTTTAATTACAATAAAATAGTAAGTAAATAACTGTGTACTATTTTTCGTTGGTGTTGGGTAGCTAGATTTTCAACATTTGCAATACTGATTCATTATTGCTTACCAAATAGGTAATTATAGCTAAGTCTCCTAACCTTAGGGTACTAGATTTTTCAGAAAGACAAAGTCTGTATTAAGACCAATATAAATACAAACAATAATTTAAACCATGTTGGCGAAACAGTGATACAAAATAAGTAAAATGGTACTGACAGAATCCTAAATTCTAAAACACATCAACCTCAGCTGAAGACCACCTTTAGAAAGCCTTTCTATCTGATCCAGAAAACAACAGAACTAGAAAGAAGTCAGAAAGAATGAAAAGTAAAGAAGAAAAGAAAGTTAATAATAAATAAGGCTAGATGAGCCATTGTTTTTAACCTTGGTATTTGTATGACTAATGTTATATATAAAATATTGGGAAAATTATTCTTTCTAAGCAACTACTATTTTTGGAAATATTTCTCCAATTATTAACAAGAGTAAACGGGAAGAAAATGAAGCAGATAGTCACAGGGTATTTTTTATCAATAGATTTACTGATTCTTATGATATTCCAGCCCCAACTTTTCACCTGAAATGCTTTACAAATGCTGGAGCTGAAGAATAGAAAGTTATGTACATCTAGAGAGCTTTCTAAACAGTACTGAAATGCATAAAGTAATTAATTATTCATTACTTACAAAAGTTGTGTTTTCCAATAATAATGTGGTAGCATTTGTTTCTATATTCAGTTTAATGACATGTCCATTCTCGCTTTTATACACCACATCTGTATCTGCAACAACAAAGACATTCACAATTGACAAATACATTGACTAGATAATATAGTAACTGTAGGGGAGAAAACGTGCAAAATAAACAGACACATTAGAATAATCATTTTTAGCCTTCAATAACCCAAGCAGATTTCTGTACTTGGCATTCATTCTCGTGAAAGATCAGGAAGCCCGCCTAACACATGGTCTATTGTGCAATGAACAAGGGGTTAGTATGAGGGCCACTCAGGTTCATGGTTTAACAAATGAAAATTAATTAAAATATGGGCAGTCTGCTGCACATTCTGTGGTGAGAAAAAATGGGCAAAGAGAAGTGCCTCCAGTCTCTAAAGTAAACCATTACTGATGATGATCCAGTATTTTAACTTAAAAGTGCTGCCAGTTGACTGTAACTCTAACAGTTCTATGTCTCCTAAGATTGAATCATTCTCATGCAGACCTATTTATGGATCCAATTCTTCTACCACCACTGAATTCCTATTCAGCATCTTGAATTCTCTTCTGGGTTGTGAATTTTTTCTGTGGTATTTTACCTGGCTTGCACAATTGCAGCTCAAAATCTGAGGCTACTACTATATCAATGAATGAACTTTTTCAACTCTAGAAGAACTATGTCTTCATTTTAAATAATTGCATTTCTTTCAGATAATTGCTTTTACATATTTTTGAGGTAAGTTTGGCCATATTTGTTAGAAAATTAAAACATCTTAACAATATCTCTGCCTGAAATTACTAACGAGGTAAAACTGACAGGATATAAGGATACTCTGGAGATAAATATATATATATATATAATTATACATAATTATATATATATATATGATTAGGTAAAAGAGAAGATAGCCACATTAAAGTAGGTTTGAATATGTTCTCTTTTTAAATCATAATCTTTTTACCCAATTTTACCCAATTCTAGCCTTTTCTTGCTTACACATCCCTAATCTCCTGCTCATTCTAGGAAGAAAGGTGATATTAATGGAGATTAGATTCACTACTTATAGTGAATGAATGTGTATAAGTTACAATCTCTCAGAAACTGAATGTCTCCACTTGCAAAGTTATAAAACAAGTACTAAATGATGAGTTACAAAGATTAGCCACAAAAACACACGAAAAGGTGTCTGACACTTTTGGCAGAACAAGATTTTCTGACCCCTTCTCTCATTATTTAAATATTATTAATAGTTACACGTACAATTTATATGACAAGAAGCAAGAAATATTAGCAAAGCTGAAGTTTGTTTTCTTCAGTATCTAATTCAAAACACATAGTCCAATATGACTCTCCTGTTAGAGTCAAGAATAACACAGAGGGCCAGTAGTTCTTGACCTTAATCACATGGGAACAGTGACATGTTGGAACTGTGGCCTGGGAAACAGGGAAAGTCAAATGGACTTTTTAGGAAGGAGGAAAGTAAGGAGATAAAGAAGGGATTTCCCAGTTACTCCCTGAGGCTGGCCGTATGGACTGATAGTTCTATATGATCTTTAAATTAAGGCCTGTATCACCTTCTGAACTTCTTTTATCAGCTAAAAAGGAATTGGGTTCTTTTTTTTTTATCATTAACTTTATCTGTTTTCCTTTCTGTTGATGCAGAACAAATAACAGATTTACATAAACAATAAATATTTATTTTGATTTATATTCTTTTCCTCTCTTCCTTTTCCTTTTCATTCATATTTATGATCATGTCTCAACAGCAACACCAATCATCTGTAATGCTCATTTGGTCTTGCCAGCTGATTTGATCTCCTGTCCTCCTGCTCACAATTAATGCTTGCTCAAATCAACAGTCCAACCTCAACTTTGAGTTCTAACTTCTATTCCCTCTATGAATTTTTTAAAATATTCTCATCTCTGGCCCACTTCTTGATTGTGATGAACATATCATCATGAATTATCAAGAGCCAAATAGCATGCCCTAACAAAATCATCCTTACAATATTTTCTCAATAAATTAAGAGAAAATAAATTTCCATTTTCCATTGCATCATGGAGATAAATAGAGCAAAACAAAACAAAACACTCGACAAGTAGCTTTTCTCTCAAAAGGCAGGCAAAAACATCTTTGCAAAGATTATGATAATGAAAGAAATCTAACATGGCTGACTCCATCTTGCTTTTAGGCTCGTAGGCTGGCTGTCTTCACTCATTCTTGGGTATTGGCCAAGCGAACCATTGGTGAAATTTAGTTTATAGTTTAACCTTGAAACAAGAATAATAATAGTCCCTCCCTAAACCTCATCCCCTCCTCGTTCAGGGGTTGAAACCACCCTTGTAATACTAATGAAAGGACACAAAACTGAAATTATGAAAGAGGCCTGAATTCTCCTAAAATGTAGCTATAGTTTCTATAATCCCTTACTGCTCAAAAGTCATGTGGCCAGAGGTCACAAGATTTGTGACTCGCCTATATATAGATAATATAGATGATAGTACTGTTGTAGAACCTCAGGTTGGTCTTCTGAGATGATTTTCAGACTGGCCTCACCTGGACTCATGACTCAACCAGTCCTGTGACCTCCCATCCAGAGGCAGACTCAGTGCACAGTTTTCCACACTTTTATAATTGCATCCCCCCCAACCAATCAGCAGCATCCATTCCCTAGTCCCATGCCCACCAAACTTTCCTTGAAAAACCCTGACCTCCAAGACTTCAGGGAAACTCATTGAGTAATAACTCCAGTTCTCCCACATGGCTAATCTCATGTTACTGAAACTCTTCTTTACTGCAATACCAACGTCTCAGTGAACTGGTTTTTGCAGTGGATAGGAAGAAATCATTGGGTGAGTACACAAGCACAATGCAGAATTTTAAATTGAGATGAGGTCTGTGGTGTTAGAGAGAAAGAAAAGCCATAGAGCAATTTTAGTATGAATGGTGATTCCTAGTCAAGAGAAGAGAAAAAGAAATGCGTGACCCCATAGTTCCTCATAGTGAAAGAAAATCTTAAATGAGTGATAGGTTGTTATTAGGGGTGATCGAAAGAAAATTCATCATGATTTCCCTTAGAACAAAGTAGAAGGAAGTGAAGCTTGTTTGAAAAGATAAAGACTACACTTAATATCAGTTTATTTAAAGTCAATTTTCTTGGATAATTATTTGGCCTTGAGAAAAATCTACAGAGAATTGAGATTTGTAAATACCTTTAGATCTACACTCCTGCAAATTTTACTGTTAGACTCTCAATGTTGCATTAATAGGATAAACTTTTAAAATTCACATGTAATTCTCTAGCTTAATAAATAATAAAGATTTTTGCATGAATTATTTTAAAAGAAACTAATATCTGCCCTTATTAATTTTCTTGGGGTTTTTTTTGTTCTTTATAATCTGGTCTTCTGGATTTCATATTTATCCTACTTTACAGTTTGATTTATAATCACTAGTGGAATCCCCAGTTTTGAAACTCCTGTTACTAGATTAACAGTTATCTACCAGACTAATAGTGATCCTTCATTCTGGAACTACATTTCTAAATGTTGTATGATATATTTTGTTTAACTTTAAGTAATCAAATATGAGTGAATCAGATCAATGACTTAAGTGCATTAACATGGAAAGATTAAGGTAGGAGTACTTGAAATATTCTTAAAGCATGGCACTATGCATATCTACAAGGTACTTTGATTAAATAATCTTTTCTCCTTTTTAACTCTTTGACAGTTAAGAGCCAATTATTCTGAACACACATTCGACTCAGTCAGTTTTCCTAAAATGAAAATGTATGGCAGAATAGAATCACTATCTGGCCTGTGTACCCTGAGATCTAAGCACGTATTTTCAGTCTGCAGTAACCCTAACTATCATTACTGCCATTTCGATCCAATTTTTTTTCCCATAATTTGGCTGACAAAAAGAAAAACATAGTATCCTAATTTAAAATCTTTCAGGTAAATGCAGCCTTATATTTTATACCTCTTCCACACAAAGCAGATAATAAAGCATTTTCCATTGTTAATTTAGTTCTCAATGTGGTATTGAAATTAAGAACTGAGACTTCTGCATCCACCTTATCTATCAGGACCAAAAATAAAGGCAGCCTACATTCACATTATTTTACTGTTTGTTCTAGGAAGTTCTTGTTTATGAACTTAACGTTGTAAATCAGAACGAAAAACTTTTTTTTTTTTTTTTTTTTCAGAAAATGGCTGAAAATTAGTTTCTAGAAACATTAAACTCCTAAAACTGGGTAAATGGCTCAATTATCAAACAACTCACTTCAAGATTCCTGCCTTTCTGTGTTCACCAATCCTAAACTATTACGTCTTGAAATGTGCCTAACCAAACCAGATCCTCACATTGAAAGTTCAGTCTTATCTACTCAAACCTAGATTTCCAACCCTATTCATATTTCGCCTTAATCCTCTCCTTCTGGACACTCCGACTCTTGTAAAATGTTGTCTTTTCTGACTATTATAGGTAATAAACTCAGCTTTGCTTAACGGGTTATGCTGTGAGTCTTCTGAGAAGTTGAAATCCGACAAAATTCATCTTCCATATGTAACAATAAAAAGTCACCATATTGGTTTCTGTTGGTCTTGCTAACGGCTAATTTAAGTATGCATTTAATTTTGACGTGATAATCTAGTTTCAGTGTTTTAAAATTAAATCAATAAATATATAATCTATCTCTACATAGAGAAAGAGTTTTCAAAAAGTAGAAAAAACTCTGGCAAATCAGTTCTCTGAGAAACTTTAATCCAAACATAATCTTCATTTAAAACTATTTTTGATATATCCACAATTGAAATTCTGTAGCATTCCATGTTTTAAAAGAAACTATACTCAATAAAAAAAGCTGAGCAATTAAAAATAAAATGTGGAAAAAATGAAATGACTATCACAGGAAATGCTCAAATAAATCTAGGAAGGGTTTGTTAAACAACAAGATTTTATTCTTTAATTAAATATATCAATGGTAAATCTAGAATATTTAGCTACTCACAATTAAAACACAGTAGGCTCCTAATTCAACTCCCTAAAACACTGCTCACAACAATGTTAAACTTTCCTCATATTTTGAAGAGCCCCAGGATCCATATATTTAACTGAAGAAACTGAGGCCATTAGAAATGGCTTCAATATCCTTTATTTCTACTTCAAGATCTCATTGCATGCACATTTTTTTCCCAAGACTTTTGGGAAGAGATGAACTTTCTCCTTCGCAAAGAGAAGCTCTGTTTTATAAACAAGTCAATGCGCTCTAAGCTCTTAAATATCTTTTATTTCTGCTTCAAAAAACAAAAGGATTAAAGAAAAAAAGTACATGCACGGTGGCTCATGCTTGTAATCCAGCATTTTGGGAGGTCGAGGTGGGTGGACCACAAGGTCAACAGAATGAGACCAGCCTGACCAACATGGTGAAACCCCGTCTCTACTAAACATAAAAAAATTAGCCGTGGTGGTGCACACCTGTAGTCCCAGCTACTCAGGAGGCTGAGGCAGGAGAATCGCTTGAACCTGGGAGGCGGAGGTTGCATTGAGCCAATGTTGCACCACTGTACCCCAGCCTGGCAACAGAGTGAGACTCTGTCTCAAAAAATAAATAAATAAATAAAAAGTACATTAAGTCTGGTGTTTTTCTCTGTTCCTAGTTTTTTCCCTTTCACAGTAAGCCTCAATAAACCTTTTGCCTGAGGGGTTTCCACCTTGTTCTCCATAACAGCCATACAAGCTATTCTCTGTATCTTCTGCAGTACAGCTGCAGTCCTTGCTCTACTGAAATTTCAGACTTCCAGCATCATCACTGACCTGCAATAACCAAATACAATATGTTCTTCCCCCATGTTTAATATCCACCTAACTCAACTTCATAGTGTGTAACAATGATGATGAACAGTAGGGTTTTGCAATCCTCTTCTCTTGACTTTGAACCACTATCTTGCCCTGGTATTTGTTCTTCAAATTTTTCTATATGCTCTTTCCTCTCAATTGCTATCTAAACAAAGGCATCCTTCCAAACTCAGCTGTAGGCTTTTTTTTTTTTCCAACAGCTCTTCAGTGACTATTTTACTACTCACACCTTCTTATATGGATTCTTAAACATTCAACTAATGTCCTGACATTTCCCATAGGCCAGTTCTATATTTCTAATTCTATGCTAGATCACATATCTTGTAGACATATAAAACTCAGTACTACAATTAAACTTTTTATAGTTTTGGCTCTACTCTCCCTCAAAATTCCATTTACATACATACCATCCTGTTGGTTACACCTTTCCTGTATCTTCATCTCCTATATTTATATTGTTCTTTATGACCACTCACCCAGACTACTGCTAGTTTTGTAAGAGTTTTCTATGGCTCTAGGTATTACCATTACACAGCCCAATCAATTCAACACAATACTTACCATTATCTCAAACACTCCTCAAAGACCTGTGGCTTCCTAATAATAAAATATAAAATTTAACATATATTTATATATTTATTATCTACCGATAGCCTATAAAATAGTCCAGATTATCTGTGGCTTACAGTTCTCCACATATGTAAAACTTCACTCCCACTCAGATTTTCTTACAATGCCCACTAATAAATACACCAGATCTTGTCCAAACTTTTCACTTTTTTCAAAGCATTGTTAAATTCCCAACACCTTTAAAGTATTCACCTAATATCCCTCTCTTCTGAACTCCTGTGCCAGTTAATATTTAATCATGTAATTCCTTTCGATCTTTTTTATTGAGTTTTTTTATTCCATTTTGATGTGTTTGTTTTGGGTTTTCAATTACTTTATAAACTCAAGAAGGAACCTATTTCTTGTTCCTTTGAGAATTGAAACGATCTATACCAACACATCTTACTGTTTACATTAACACAATTTGCTATTCAACTGTCTGCATTGATATGACTTTAATATTTCAGGAAATTCTTTCCAGGAAGCTGAAGTTGCAAATAACCTTCTTTTTTTTCAAGAACTTTCCAAAAACCCATTTACTTGAAAAATAGACCGCCCATCTAAGGCTCATAAATATATCTTTCTCAGAACAACATACAGCACAAACAAATGACTGTTTCCTATTTAAGAGCTTCTCCAAAGCACTCACATCCCTCAATTCACCTATCCTAAACTCTTAATCACAAAGTATGCCCAACTCTAATCAAGACCACTTATTGAAATACCTGTCAAACTACATACCCCCAAAACTTTATAAGCAACTCTTCTTTGCTTTTCTCTTTCCATATGCTGCTCACTTTCTGTGACAAGAGTGATCTTTTTTACCAAACTAAGCAATTAAGTCAGCCATGCTTTATCTTTAATAGGTTATTTTGGTGGAATTTTTGGTGAGCCACCATTCAGTCATTCACAGCTTTTAGAGTATGTACTACAGCCCCATCCAGTAGAATGATCACAGCAAATATTTTTGTTTCCTCTAAGTTTTTGACCACATCGATCATATATATATATGTACTTATTTATTTATTGATTGCTGTTGTGACGTTATTTAGAAATGCATTTAGCACTCCTGATGAAGATATCTGCCTTGACTAAAATTTGTTCAGGCTCCTCCATCTACTTCACAACTAGCCCTTGACCTTGGCCTGCCTTTAACAAGAATCCTGCTGGGTCAGTTTAGTGAGAATCCTCCTGCCTTTGACACTTGATCAAATTCCTCTACCCCTACCCTTGAAATTTAAGTCTATGGCTTGCCTTTAGCAAAAATTGTGTTAATCCAGTTGACAGAGCAGGAGCATTGCCATCTTGGACATGCCCCTCATTCTAAAGTTCAACCTAATAAAAGCCACCTAAATCCAAAGTGTATCAGCCTAATGGCTAAGGTCAGCATGACCATAAACCACAAATAACATCTCCAACCAGAAACATTCCAAACTCCTCCCCGACCACAGACATGCTAGCCCCTAGATAACCCCTTCCAGCCAGGAAGATGCTAGCCCCGAGACAACCCTCCTCCTGGCTGAAGAGATGTCTGCCCCAAGATAATCTCCTCTCCTCCCAGAGACATTCCAGCCCACCATAAAATTATCCACACACATAAACATTCCAAGCTTCTGGTAAGCCTTCTCACCCTAAAACAAATATATACTCACAGTCTGTAAGAGAAAGGGCTCCTGACAAACTAGCCAGGAGCACCTCTCAGGTTTCAACTAAAGAAAACCTGTCTTTAACTGCCAGCCGTGTTTCGTGTTTCTTTCCTCTATAACTCTTATACCAGTTTAGCAAGACTCCCCCTGCCCTGGATACCTCCTGTTAGTAGTTTTCCATGCATTGACTGCATTATTCTGCTCATTGGCTCTAAGTACCTCTAGCAGTGTTTGCTGTAGTTGGAGTTAAGTCTCTTCTCTATATTGCAATAGTTCTTTCGTTTGGTTTGGTATGGGTTTTTTGGGGGAGGTTTTGTTTGTTTTTGTTTTTCAAACAAAGTTTCACTCTGTTGCCCAGGCTGGAGGCTGGAGTACAGTGGTGGGATCTCGACTCACTGCAACCTCCACCTCCCAGGTTCAAGTGATCCTGCTGCCTCAGCCTCTGGAATAGCTGAGACTACAGGTGTGAGTCAACACACCCAGCTAGTTTTTGTATTTCTAGTAGAGATGGGGTTTCACCATGTTGGCCAGGCTGGTCTCAAACTCCCGACCTCAAATGATCCACAATCTTGGCCTCCCAAACTGCTGGGAATATGGGCGTGAGCCACCACGCACAGCCCTCTCGCAATTGCTTTGAATAAGGTCTTCCTTAGTGTTTTAGTGTCAGAATATTTTTTAATACTATCTTGCAAATCTCAACTCTCATAACCTACTTTCATAATGTTACAATATTACATTTAAATAATTTTTAATACATTTACACATATATAAATTTAAACTTAGCATTGTTAATGGAAGAAATAAACTTTGTAAAATACTTTAAAGAGGTTTATTCTGAGCCAATATTAGTGACCATGGCCCAGGGAACATTCTTAAGAAGTACTGAGAAATATGCTGAAGGGAGTTGGGTTACCATTTGGTTTTACACATTTTAGGGAGATCGGAATTGTAGGTAAAACCATTGATATGGTTTAGCTGTGTCCCCACCCAAATCTCATCTTGAATTGTAATCCTTATAATCCCCATGTGTCAGGGGACCCGGTAGGAGGTAACTGAATCATGGGGGTGGTTTCCCCCATGCTGTTGTCCTGATAGCGAGTGAGTTCTCACAAGGTCTGATGGTTTTACAAACATCTGGCATTTCCCCTGCTGGCACTCATTCTCTCTCCTGCTGCCCTGTGAAGACGTACCTTCTGCCATGATTGTAAGTTTCCTGAGGCCTCCTTAGCCATGCAGAACTGTGAGTCAATTAAACCTCTCCCCTTTATAAATTACCCAGTCTCAGGTATTTCTTTATACCACCATGAGAACAGGCTAATACAACTATAAATAAATACAAGGAAGGTGTACCTGGGTTCAGCCTAAAGATGTGGGATATCTTGAAGTGGGGAAGGTTTACATGTCATCAGTGGGGTCAAAGATTTTCTGATTGGTAATTGGTTGCAAGAGTTAAACTTTGTCTAAATATTTGAAGTCAGAAGAAATAAATGCTTGAATCAAGATTAAAGGGGGTTGTAAAGGCCAAGGCTCTTTTTATGCAGATGAAGCCTCAGAGAGAATAGATGGTAAATGTCTCTTTTCAGACATTAAAGTTGTCAGACTGTCAGCTAATCTCCCCTAGATCTGGGAAAGGCTTGGGAAAGGGAAGGTCTGGTTACATTAATAGAGATTGTCTGCAGATCCAAATTTTCCCTACAAAAGATGGTTTTGTGGGGCCATTTCAAAATATAACAAAAAATATATTTTGGGGTAAAATATGTTTGTTTCCTTCAGGGTCTGCTATCTGTAGTTAGGTTAGAAATTAAGTCAAATTGTACCAGCTTAATTTAAAAAAAAAAAAAAGCGCCAGTTTTACAAAATTTTTTGGTTTGTAGGATGGGACTTAACCTTTGCCTTGCATGGCCTTTTATTTGTTTTTAATTAGCCACAAAGGGACTGTTTTGTTATTCTTGTGATCTCTATTTTAACCTGAATGCTGGTCAGTTGTGCTTAAATTCCAAAAGGAAGGAGATATAAAGAAGAGGGTTCAACATCCCTTCCCATCACAGCCAGGAATTCAGGTTTTCAGGTTTTTCTGGGGTCCTCTTGGCCAAGAGAGAGTCTGTTTGGTCTGTTGGGGGCCTTAGGGTTTTATTTTTGGTTTACAGTATACTAGATCAGGGGTCCATAAACTACAGCATTGGGCTAATCTGGCTTTCTAAGAACTGTTTTTGTAAAGAACACAGCTACATCTATTTATTGCTCATGGCTGCTTATGCACTATAACAGCATAGTTGAGTAGTTGCAACAGAGAAAATATGGCCCGCAAAGCCTTAAATATTTACCCTCTGGTTCTTTAAATAAAAAGTTTGCTGGAATCTGTGTTAGCCTATTAATTGTTTGCCTCATTCAAATAAGATATCTTTTACTTACTATATTTTAAACGTTAATCACCGATCATTGCAATGTAACTAAAAGACTGTTCTTTTGGATTTCCAAAATAGCCATACACTCTAAAAGGTATGTTTTTTGTTTCTTTGTTTGTTTGTTTTACAACATGGCATGAGAGATACATATTTTTTTTTTTTTTTTTTTTATTATACTCTAAGTTTTAGGGTACATGTGCACATTGTGCAGGTTAGTTACATATGTATACATGTGCCATGCTGGTGCGCTGCACCCACTAATGTGTCATCTAGCATTAGGTATATCTCCCAATGCTATCCCTCCCCCCTCCCCCGACCCCACCACAGTCCCAGGAGTGTGATATTCCCCTTCCTGTGTCCATGTGATCTCATTGTTCAATTCCCACCTATGAGTGAGAATATGCGGTGTTTGGTTTTTTGTTCTTGCGATAGTTTACTGAGAATGATGGTTTCCAATTTCATCCATGTCCCTACAAAGGATATGAACTCATCATTTTTTATGGCTGCATAGTATTCCATGGTGTATATGTGCCACATTTTCTTAATCCAGTCTATCACTGTTGGACATTTGGGTTGGTTCCAAGTCTTTGCTATTGTGAATAGTGCCGCAATAAACATACGTGTGCATGTGTCTTTATAGCAGCATGATTTATACTCATTTGGGTATATACCCAGTAATGGGATGGCTGGGTCAAATGGTATTTCTAGTTCTAGATCCCTGAGGAATCGCCACACTGACTTCCACAATGGTTGAACTAGTTGACAGTCCCACCAACAGTGTAAAAGTGTTCCTATTTCTCCGCATCCTCTCCAGCACCTGTTGTTTCCTGACTTTTTAATGATTGCCATTCTAACTGGTGTGAGATGGTATCTCATTGTGGTTTTGATTTGCATTTCTCTGATGGCCAGTGATGGTGAGCATTTTTTCATGTGTTTTTTGGCTGTATAAATGTCTTGTTTTGAGAAGTGTCTGTTCATGTCCTTCACCCACTTTTTGATGGGGTTGTTTGTTTTTTTCTTGTAAATTTGTTTGAGTTCATTGTAGATTCTGGATATTAGCCCTTTGTCAGATGAGTAGGTTGCGAAAATTTTCTCCCATGTTGTAGGTTGCCTGTTCACTCTGATGGTAGTTTCTTTTGCTGTGCAGAAGCTCTTTAGTTTAATTAGATCCCATTTGTCAATTTTGTCTTTTGTTGCCATTGCTTTTGGTGTTTTGGACATGAAGTCCTTGCCCACGCCTATGTCCTGAATGGTAATGCCTAGGTTTTCTTCTAGGGTTTTTATGGTTTTAGGTTTAATGTTTAAATCTTTAATCCATCTTGAATTGATTTTTGTATAAGGTGTAAGGAAGGGATCCAGTTTCAGCTTTCTACATATGGCTAGCCAGTTTTCCCAGCACCATTTATTAAATAGGGAATCCTTTCCCCATTGCTTGTTTTTGTCAGGTTTGTCAAAGATCAGATAGTTGTAGATATGCGGCATTATTTCTGAGGGCTCTGTTCTGTTCCATTGATCTATATCTCTGTTTTGGTACCAGTACCATGCTGTTTTGGCTACTGTAGCCTTGTAGTATAGTTTGAAGTCAGGTAGTGTGATGCCTCCAGCTTTGTTCTTTTGGCTTAGGATTGACTTGGCGATGCGGGCTCTTTTTTGGTTCCATATGAACTTTAAAGTAGTTTTTTCCAATTCTGTGAAGAAAGGCATTGGTAGCTTGATGGGGATGGCATTGAATCTGTAAATTACCTTGGGCAGTATGGCCATTTTCACGATATTGATTCTTCCTACCCATGAGCATGGAATGTTCTTCCATTTGTTTGTGTCCTCTTTTATTTCCTTGAGCAGTGGTTTGTAGTTCTCCTTGAAGAGGTCCTTCACATCCCTTGTAAGTTGGATTCCTAGGTATTTTATTCTCTTTGAAGCAATTGTGAATGGGAGTTCACTCATGATTTGGCTCTCTGTTTGTCTGTTGTTTTAAAAAATGAATCAAATCCCTGGTAAATAAGATAAAGTTAGATATCCAAAATAAAAGCATTTACCTAAAAAGTAACCAGAATAAAGTTCGTTTTTATTTAAAAGTCATCATAATTGTAAGTAATCATTATTAATTCTTGTGGAAGTGCCGATCCTATGAATGGTACTTCCTGTGATAAAGAGCCTTTTTCAGGCTAGATAATGGAGCAGTTGATAGCCACTCAACTAAATGATGTTTTTCTGATTTGTAGCTAAAATGTGAATAGCAGCAATTTTCACACGACCATTTCATTCTTTGGATTATTTGCAAAAAGATAGCATAAGAGGAAAATAAAATCTCTCTCTAGAATTTTAAATATATTTTCCCACCAGAAGGGTTGTTTGCAGAATAGTAGCATAACCACCAGCTTTAACTGATTAACTTTCTTCAGTTAAAACTCTTACCAAAAGTTTCTAGACTTCATACTCATACACTCAACACTCTTGTTGAATGGTCCAGTCTATTTAAATCACCAGGCAAAGGAAAGATGTAAGCAGATTCATGCTTCTCTTCCACTTGAGCATCTCATATAAAGTAAATATAAAGATTGATGTGTTTATATGATCCCAAAGGTCTAGAACTCTACACTGCAGTGATACATGCAGAAAATAGAGCTTATTTTAAAGTAACATCTAAACTGCATTGTTGACATTGTCCAATTGACAAACATGTTTAATCTCCAACATCTTTGATAAAGCTATGTCTTTCTTTTCAAGATGCAATGTCTTCTCATTAGCATTTCAGTTGAATGGACAGATGGATATGTTACTAGTGCCAGTAAAACTTAAGCAAGTTTTCTCACCCTTATGAAAATATTTCTGTAGTCATGGTTAATATCAGCATATTGACATACAAAAGGTGATAGAAGAAAAAGACATATGGGTCAAAGACAATAATTTTTTATATTTTCCGATTTTAAAATAATATAAATCCACTGTGGAAAATTTGTGTAATGCAAACATGTCAAGGGAAACTAACTGATAATTTTAATATGTTCCCTTATAAAATACACAGTGGCAATCATGAACATATCAAGGTTTAGATCAGACTTTATTCCTTAAAATTATAGATTAGGCATTATACTATGTCACTAAACACTAAAAATTCACCATTGGCTATTTCAAAAGCTTAACACTCTCAGTTGACATTATAGAAAGAAAAATAAATTGCAATATCATAACTGAAATATACAAAGAAAAAGTGGCTGTATTTAAAATGTAGACAAAAGGAACATATTAATAGATGTTATAGTTCTCAACATAATTGCATAGAGTAGTATTGAAGAATTTTGTTGTCTGGAAAACTAATTCATACATCTAAACAACAGATGCTATGACTCTTCAAATGCATAATGACATAACTTTACCTTTATCAATTTCTGCATATTTCAGTTAAATCTCTAGAGAGAAGATTGATCACTGTAATCCAAGTATATAATTAAACCATAAAGTAAGACTTAATTAAATAGAAAATTGATTTAGTTGAATAAATTGGTAGTATTGCATTCATTTAAACAGAAACAACATTAAAAGAAGTGACAGAAAGAATAATTAAAATTCACATACTTAACAACAATCAGACCCAAGAATGAAGGGCACGAATATAAAATATATGAAAATACTTACAAAGAAATAGTTATAGGATGGTTACTAATATCAAAACACTAGTTAGTTCTAAGGTAATAGCAAGTGGAAATGAGGCAATAACTTTGGGCAATAGGTTGTCGTTTTTCTTTGGATAAAATAACTTCTCAAGCATATGTAGGCTTTAAGGTTTTTGTTTGTTTTTTTTTTTTTTTTTTGGAACAGTGTTAAAGTTTATGAGAAAAATTCAGATGATTAAGAAAAAATGCTGATGAGCCTAAAATTGTATAATGGACTTAATCATATTTGTTCTTATGCCCAGGATGTAACTTACCTAACTGTAAACAGCTATTATACAAGTTAATATTTGTTCGTTTGTTTGTTTTTGAGATGGAGTCTTGCTCTGTTGCCCAGCTGGAGTATAGTGGCACAATCTCAGCTCACTGCAACCTCTGCCTCCCGGGTTCAAGCGATTCTCCTGCCTCAGCCTCCCAAGTAGCTGGGACTACAGGCACGTGACACGATATACAAGTTAATGTTTTTAGAAGAAGGATGATCAGCTAAGAATTGATAGATAAGTCATTGTTACCATTTTCTATTTTAGGTAGGAGGTGGGAGAAAACTAAAGGACTATTTATTGCTTTTTGAAGTATCAGAAACTCCTGCCTGAATGAGATTACCTCCCGAACTGGCTGACTGCATGTAGGGCTTCATGCAGACATGCATGACTTGATACAGATACTTCAGTGTTGTCATCAGGGGCATGACTAATATCTTACCATAGTTTTCTTTCAGATGGCTCCATTCAGACAAGCTTTCTCTTCATGATCAAAAAATGACTATAGCATATGGAATCCCTACAGCCTGTCACTTTCAAGACAACATAAAAAAACCAAAACTATATTTTCCAGGGTTCTCAGTAGGAGGTCCCTTGCTTTCATTGGTCATAGATGGTCCAGGTACTCATTCCTGTGCTGTACATTAGTGGTATGCAATGTGCTAATTAGGCACAAACCTAAATCACATGCCCATTACTGCCAAGCATTGATTATGTGTTGGTTGTTAAGAAAGAAGTTATTTTCTGGATGACAGAAAATGATCAAAGTTGGCTAAGTGACACAAACCACAGATCTATTACACAATGAGTGTGCATTCATAATAACTATGTTTATTTATGGAGGGTATTATTTGTAAAAAAAAAAAATTGCCTCTCCAAACTCACCATAAGTTTGGCATTTCATAATGCAGGTAAGTACAGGAAAATTGACTATGTGCACATGTATGTGTGCACCTGTGTGTTTGTGTGTGGGGGGGGGGTGTACTGGTGGCAAAAAAAAATGAGTCTGTGATAGGAAATATGTTTTTAGTAATTGTTAAAATTCTGAGCAGAGTTTGCTGTTTGTCTGGGGTCCTGTCATCTACACGAGTCATGTTTCCCCTGGAGAAAAATGATTTTGTCTGAAATCTCAAGATATTCGATGCCCATTGAGGAAGCTTGCCAGGAGAAATGTGTGCTTTTGCCAGGATGTGTAGTCAGAGATTTATTTTACTGAGAGGGGGAAAAACATGTTGGCAGCAGATCAGTCTGACACTGCTGAGAAGATATAGATATACGCCCTGGGAGAATCACAAATCTCCATTAAAGTTTCAAGTCTCCTGTTGAGTTGTTAAGAATAATCAGATTGGCCAAGGAGCAGTCGGAATTTACAAGTAAGTCTGCCAGTAAGGCTGAACTCTAAACCTACAACTTAACATCAATCAGTGTTAGAACATGAATGTGGAGAGTACATTTTTTATTGCTGTGGTTGTTTTCTTCAAACTAGTGACCCTGCCTCACTTCTCATCACGATTAACCAAATTTTCCTCATCTAACATCATGGGCAATTTGAAAGTCCACCTCTTCTATGAATTATGAATTCCTCCCAAACAATATTAGTTTTACACACACAGACACAAATGCACACACATACACATACAGATAGATAGATAGATAGATAGATAGATAGATAGATAGATAGACAGACAGATAGACATATCAGGCAGTGAAAGAACGAAGAAGGAGTATGTTTCAGAGATTTGGGTTGAAATTCTGACTCTTCTACATAACAGTATTTAATTTTGGAGCTGGTTACATTAGCTATCTGTAATTTACTTTTGTCATCTGAAATAATTTTTTAAAAATCCTACATGTCCAAAATAAGTTGTTTTAATATCAAATACTATAATACATATTAAAAATGAAGTACCTTCCACAGAGTATGTATCCAATAAAGTGATCTTGAGTATGATGATGATGGAGGTAACGTAACTACCATGATTTAGTAAGCATTTTTTAATTCTCCACCCTACCTACATTTCATCCTGTTATCAGATACTACCATTAACCATCAAAATGGCTGTGTACTCTTTTTAGAAGAAAATATTAAAATTTCCTTATTTACCCAATTACTTTGAATAAGACTGAGTATATATTTGGTATTTATGTATCTCATTGAATTAGTGTCTAAGTATTCCCATTTTGAGCATTTTGGAATTCATATATAAACTGGATGAGACAACAAAGCAAGAATAGAGTAAAATCCCAGAGGTTAATCACCCACACATAATGAAAAGAAAAAATAAGAAGATGTTAAGGTAGTAAGGCTATGATGAAAGGAAGCCATCCCAGTATCATGAACTGATTAATTGATAAAATGTGATATATCCATATAATAATATTGGTATTTATATGTCAATAAGGATGAATGAAGGAATGATACATGGTACACGAGGAATAAACCTTAAAAATATGAATGTAACTGAAAGAAGACAGTCATAAAGAGCTGCATATGGCATAATTCAATCTATAGGAAATGTTCAAATAGGAAAATCCATAGAAATAGAAAGTAGATTAGTGATTGCTAGAGACTGGGGGGAGGAAAATCAGAAATGACTGTGTACTAGATTTCCCTTTGGAGATGATGAACTCATTTCAGAAATGAACAGCAATGATGGTTAGACAATTCTATGAATATACTAAAAACAATGAATTGTACACTTTAAAAAGGCAAATTTCATAGCTGTTTTTATCACAAGGAGGAAAAAATGGGTAACTATGTGAGATGATGAATATGCTAATTTGTTCCCCTATACTAACTATTTTACTATGTATGCAGATATATATATATATAATCTTATAACATTATGATGTATACATACATTAAATAGACACAATAAAAATTATTTTTAAAAAATAAAAGGGTGAATTTTATGCTATATGATTTTATATCAATAAATTTATTTTTTAAAGGTATATGAAAAAATAGTGATGACCAAAACGGAAACAACTGAGATGACAAAAGTTTCAAATACAAAACTTTAGATATATTTTGGCTGTAAAACCGAAACTACTGGTGTAATATGAAACAAAACAATGTGCCATTTGCCTGGTATTTGTTTCATCTACTCCAAGTAAAGTTTAACTTTTTACCAACTTTGAAACAAAAATGGTTTGTTCTTGTGTTATAGTTGCTATGTGTAATCCTTCTCATTTAATTTGAATATTCTCATCCTTACCTCTACTAATATAGGGCTCTACAAATAGTATTTATATTCTGAATAAGTTGACAATATTAAATACATTAATCATATGCAGGTGATATGTTCATATAATGAAGTATTTTTATCAATAAAAGAGAATGAAATAATGATACATAGTACAAGATAGATGAACCCTGAAAATATTAATCTAACTGAAGGAAAACTGTCAAAAAGAGTTAATTACTTTATCAGTAAATTTTATACACTGTTTCTATAAAGGACCCCTGAGAAAAAAGTCGACAAAATAATTGGCTCCAAAATGTTTTGTAGAGCTGGACGGAACCAAGGAGGTCATCTTGTCCAACGACTTCATTTCATCCATGATGAAAAAGTCATCAAAAAAGCCTCATTGAACCCAGTGAAGAATCAGCAACTAAAACTCCTGAATTACGATTCCAAGTCCAGCCTACTTACTGCAATACCGGTTATCTCTGAATGAATGAACGATGCTTATACTGCTTCCTTAAGCTTACCCTCCAACCTGTGTGTTCTTTTGCCTTTCTACTTAGCTTCAAGCTTTGAAGAATGTACTTTATGAAGCTAAGAGAGTCACTATTAAATGATAATTAAGCCACAGTTGAGCAACTCTTTATTCATGACATAGAAGATCTTCCCTAATACTGTTCTATGATGGACCCAGTTGACCCACAGTAGTATGTTGAAAGGGGCATATGAGTAATTGCACTTCATCTCTTCTTGAATTACTGGAGGCAAATGTGAAGCATGCAGTTGTTTAGCTCCTTTTGAACATATATTTTCATACTTTATCTTCTTAGACACAGTTTATGGCTCACATATCTCATCTTACTAAAAGTACCCTGGGTTTTCTTAATTTTGTCACTTCCTGCCATGCTAGAAATATAATTGTTCTAATACTTAGCATCATATTTAATTCAAGCCACCTGTTTGCACAGATGGCAGCTTGCTCACTTTTATGCAAGAGCTAAAGATCTGGACCTAAAGAAACACAAGAATTAAACTGTTGCTTTTCTTTGCTTCTCCAAGTCTAAAGTGGGTTAAAGAATCAGAGAGAACAGATGTCTCTCCTTAAGCATTTTATTTCACCATTTTTTTCGCATACAATTTTTTAGAAAACATGATATGAGATTCTTTATACTGAACATTATGTTTCTGCTTCAAAAAGATGAGCCTTCCTGTTCTTCTTCCTAATATGACACTTACTGTACACATCATTAAGCAGATAAGAGCCACAGTCTGCAGATCCTGCCTCACCTCACCCGCGTTTTAACTCTATAACATTTGCTCTTGGCACAGCTGGAAGCACAAATATGATAAAAGGGTAGATAACTGTCTTCAAAGATACAGATATGATATAGAAAATCACCATTTTTGTTCCTATCAAAGTGTTCTGATAGAACCAACAAGCAACAATAGAATGAATACATTTTTTCAATCTCAATAAACTACTTGTTAAGTGTTTACCATGTCCCTAGGAAGTAGGAACGAGGAGGGGAAAAGGCACCTATAACCTAGTCAGTAAGAAAAAAATTCAGTTATGCAGTACATTAAAAGAAAGGGCCATTTCTTAACACCTACAATGGGAAGGACATTTTGTTAGACATTTATACTTATCTCATTTAATTCTTATATTTACATAAACAAAATTATTATATTTACATAAAGAAAATTGAACTCCAGGGAACTTAATTAAGTGGACTAACATCATACAATTAAGAGAACGGGGGAGCCAGAATTCCAATGGGAGACAGACTTTAAATACAATTTGGAAGTGAAAATTTTAATAGCTGCCCCAGGGGATGGTGCTGCTTGATCTCCACCCCCTTATAGCACACACCCGACCTGGTTATGGCCTGCAGCACCCAGAGGCTATAGTTGAAGGGGTAGCTCTCAACATTCCTCGTACTATCAGAATTTGTTCTATTAGGGGAAATAACTGAGGTCTGAACATGGCAAATTCAGGTGTGGACGCATTCATGTCTCCCCTGCAAGGTGCATGCCACTGCTTCTTTCAGCCTTGTCAGTGTCAGTTAACAAATGTGAGAAACCATGGTAGCAGCACAACAGCATATGGCTAAAAGTGGAGCTAGTCTCTACCAGACTGGTGCACACCCAACTTCGAACCTCAGCAAATATGGAGTGATGACTTTCAGAGGGGCTAAAGAAGGTCATAAAGCTGGAGCAAATTTGATTAAGTCCTCCTGGTCTTATGGGAGACCATATTTTATCACATCAAAAATTTATATATATATATACATGTGTGTTTTTATTTAAAATTAAACTGTGTTTCTTCCTCATTTTTTAATTATAGTAAATTGCACACAATATAAAATTTATCATATACCATACTAACCATTTTAAGTTTTCAACTGAGCAGTATTAAGTACATTCATATTGTTGGATAACCATTGCCACCACCTATCTTCAGAACCCCTTTCATCTTGCAAAACTGAAAATCTGTACGCATTAAACAGTAACTCTTCATTCCTTACTGCACTTCTTGGAAACCATTATTTTACTTTCTGTGTCTATGATTTTGACTGCTCTAAGTACCTCATATAAATAAAGTCATACAGTATTTGTCTACTTGCCACTAGCTTATTTCCCTTAGCATGGATGAACCTTAGAGGGTTCATCCATGTTGTAGCATATGTCAGAATTTCCTTCCTTTCTAAGGATGAATAACATCCCATTGTATGTATATCCCACATTTTGTTTATCCAACTCATCCATCAATGGACACTTAGGTTGCTTCCACATTTTAGCTTTTGTGAATAATGCTGCTATGAATAGGGGTACATAAAAATCTCTTTAAGACCGTGCATTCAATTCATTTGGGTATTTATCCAGAAGAATAATTTATAGATCATACAGTAATTCTGCATTTAATTTTGTGAGGAAACATCATACTGTTTCCCACAGCAGCTATAATATTTTACATTCCCACCAAATAGTGCACAAGACTTTCAGTTTCTCCACGTCATCACCAAATATTTTCTATTTACTTTCTTTCTGATAGTATGCATCATAGTGAATGTGATGTGGTATCAAATTGTGGTTTTAACTTGCATTTTCCTAATGATTAGTGACATTGAGCATCTTTTTTCATGATTATTGGATATTTGCATATCTTTTTGGAAAAATATTCATGTAACTCCTTTGTCTATCAATTATGCTGTTTGTTTTGTAATTCTTGTTGAGTTGTAGGCATTTTCTATATGTTCTGGATATTAATCCCTTACCATAGATATGACTTGCAAATATTTCTTCCCAATCTATGGATTACCTTATGGCTCTGTGGATGATGTCTTTTGATGCACACTTAAAAAAATTTATAAGTCCAATTTGTGTATATTTTCTTGCGCTGTCTGTGCATTTGATGTCATTTCCAAGAAATATTACTGCCAAACCCAAATCTTGAGGCTTTTGTCCTGCTTTCTTCTAAATGTTTTATAGTTTTAGGTTTAACACTTAAGTGATAGATTCACTTAGAACTAGTTTTTAAACATCATTTTAGTTAACAATCCCATTCCATTCTGTTGCATGTAGATAAACAATTTTCCCAATGACATTTGTTGAAAGTACTGTCTTTTCCTCACTGAGGTCTCAATACCCTTGTTGAAAATAAGTTAACCACATATTTGAGAATTTATTTCTGGGCCCTCTATTCTATTCCATTGGTCTATATGTCTGTTGTTATGCCAATAGATGTGGTTTGGCTGTTTCTCCCCTCCCAATCTCATTGAAATGCAATCCCCAGTGTTGGAGGTGGGGCCTGGTGGAAGCTGACTAGATTGCGGGGCTGGATCCCTCATGAATGGCTTAGTGCCATCCTTTTGGTAATGAGTGAGTTCTCACTCCGAGTTCACATGAGATCTGGTTGTTTAAAAGAGTGTGGCACCTGCCCCTACTCTTGTGCTCCTGCTCACAATGTGAGATGCCAGCTACCCTTTTTCCTTCTGCCATGATCGACAGCTTCCTGAGGCCTCACCAGAAGCCAAGTAGATGCCAGCACCATGCTTCCTATACATCCCATTTTCCTTATAAATTACCCAGCCTCAGGTATGTCTTTATATGTATAATAGCAACACACAAAAAAAGGGCTAACACACCATTACCACACTGTTTTGATTACTGTGGCTTTGCAGTAAATTTTGAAATCATGAAGTATGAGCTCAATGCTTTGTTATTCTATATTGAGGATTGTACTGATTAGTTGGATACCTTAAGATTCCATATAAGTTTTAGGAAGGGTTTGTCTATTTATGCAAAAAATCATTGGGATTTTTATAAGGACTACATTAATCTGTGTATATTGTTTTGGACATTATTGGCATCTTAACAATACTGTCTCTCAATCCATGTATGTGGAATAGCTTTTCATTAATATATATCTTTTTTTTCCAGGAATGCTTTGTAGCTTTTTGTATGCAAGACTTTTATCTCTTTAGATAACTAAATTCTTAAATATTTTAATCCTTTTGGTGCTACTACAAATAGAACTGTTTTCTTAATTTCCTCTTTTGGGTTGTTTGTTAGTGTATCAAAATGCAACTGATTTTTGTGTATTGACTTTGTACCCTGTCACTTTGCTTATTGTTTTTAATTAGTTCTAACAAACTTTTTGGAAATCTTTAAAATTTTCTAAGACCACATCATGTGTAAACAGAAGTAATTTTACCTCTTTGTTTCCAGTTTCCAAGGCTTTTATTTCTTTTTCTTGGCTAATTTCCTTGATCAGAAATTCCAGTACTATGTTGAATAGAAGTGGCAAAAGTGAGCATCCTATCATTTTTCTGATCTTCAAGGACAATTTTTCAGCAATTTCACCATTGCGAGTAATGTGTGCTATGGGTTTCTCATGTGTGGATTAGAATATATTGAAATAGTTTTCTTTTATTCCTAGTTTGTTGAGAGTTTTCATCACGAAAGGGTATTAATTTTTTATTAAATGATTTTTTCTGTATCAATTGTGATGATCATGTAATTTTTATCTTTCATTCTGTTAATGTAGTGTATTACATGATTGATTTTTATATGTTGAACCATCCTAGCACAGGAATAATCCCAGTGGGTCATGGTGTATAATCTCTTAAACATGTTGCTAAATTCAGTTTGTTAGTATTTTGTTGAGTATTTCTGTAACAGTATTAACACAGTTTGGATGTTGTACTCTCTAAATTTCATACTGAATGTCATTCCCCAATGTTGGAAGTGGAGCCTGGTAGGAGATGATTGGATTATGGTGGCAGGTTTCTCATTAATTGCTTAGTGCCATATCCTTGGTGCTGTCCTCATGATAGTGAGATCTTACAATATCTGGCTATTTAAATATGTGTGGCATCTTACCCCTAACTTTTTTGCTTCTACTCTGGCCATGTGATGCATTGGCTCTCTGTATTTGCTTGTTCTTGTACTGCTACAAATAAATACCTGAGACTGGATGATTTGTAAAGAAAAGAGGTTTAATTGTCTCATAGTTCTATAGGCTGTACAGGAAGTATAGTGGCTTCTACTTTTGGAGAGGCCTCAGGAAGCTTACAATTATGGTGGAAGGCAAAGGGGGAGCAGGCATGTCTTACACGGCTGCAGAATGAGGGAAAGTGGAGAGGTACCACACGCTTTTAAAACATCAGATCTCATGAGAACTCACTCATTATCACAAAACAACATCGAAAGGAAAATCTGCCCTGTTGATCCAATCACCTCAAATCAGGCTTTAGGTCCAGCATTGGAGATTACAATTCCACATGAGATTTGGGTATGGACACAAATCCAAGCCATATTATTCAACCCCTGGCACCTTCCAAATCTCATGGCTCTCTTACATTTCAAAATACAATCATATCTTCTCAAGAGTCCCCCCGAGTCTTAACTCACTCCAGTATTAACTCAAAGTCTTATCTGAGACAAAGCAAGTTCCTTTTGCATATGAGCTTGTAAAATCAAAAACAAGTTAGTTACTTCCAAGATACAATGTTGGTATAGGCATTGGGTAAATATTCCCTTTCCAAAATGGAAAAATTGGTCAAAAGAAAGAGGCTATAGGCTCTGTGCAAGTCTGAAACCCAGAAAAGCAGTCATTAAATCTTAAAGCTCCAAAATAATCTTCTTTGATTCCATGTCTCAATCCAGGTCACACTGACGCAAAAGGAGGGCTCCCAAAGCCTTGGGCAGCTCCACTCCTGTGGCTTTCTAGGGTTTAGCCCCCACAACTGTTCTCATGGGCTGGCGTTGAGTGCCTGTGGCTCTTCCAGGCTAAATGTGAAAGCTACTGGTGGATCTACCATTCTGGGGTTTAAAGGATGGTGGCCCTCTTCTCACAGCTCCACTAGACAGTCCTCCACTGGGGATTCTGTGTGGGGACTCCAACCCCACATGTTCCCTCCACATTGGCTTCCTGGAGGTTCTCCATGAGGGCTCTGCCCCTGCAGCAGGCTTCTGCCAGGACATCCAGGCTTTTCCATACATTCTCTGAAATCTAGGCAGGAGCTCTCAAGGCTCAGCTTTGGCATTCTGTGCACCCATGGGCTTAACACCACTTGGAAGCCACCAATACTTACAGTTTGCATCCTCTGAAGTGGTGGCCTGAGTTGTACCTGGGCCTTGTTGAGCCATGGCTAGTGGTGAAGTGACTGGGATGCAGGGAGTAGTGTCCCAAGGCTGCACAGGTCCGTGGGGCCCTGGACTTGGCCCTCAAAACCATTCAGACCTCCTAAGTCTCTGGGCCTGTGAGGAGAAGTACTGCCATGGAGGTCTCTGAAATGCCTTCAAGGCCTTCCCATTGTCTTGGCTATTGGCAACTGGTTCCTCATTACTTATGCAGATTTCTGCAGCCTGTTTGAATTCCTCCCCTGCAAATGGCTTTTCTTTTCTACCAAATGACTAGGCTGCAAATTTTCTGGCTGGAGCTGGAGCAGAGTGAGATATGGGGAGTAGTGTCCCAAGGCTGAACAGGGCAGTGGGGCCCTGGGCTTGGCCCATGAAACCATTCAGTCCTCCTAGGCCTCTGAGCCTATTATGGGAGTGGATGCCACAAATGTCTCTGAAATGCCTTGGAGGCTCTTTCCCCATTGTCTTGGCTATTAGTAATTGGCTCCTCTTTACTTATGCAAATTTCTGCCACCTGCTTGAATTCCTCCCTGTTAAATGGGCTTTTTTTTTTTTTTTCTATCACATGGTCAGGGTGCAGATTGTCCAATCTTTTACACTCTGTTTTTCTTTTAAATATAAGTTCCAGTTTCAGGTCATTTTTTGCTCGCACATACGAATATAGGCTTTTAGAAGCAGCCTGGCCACATCTTGAATCAGTTGCTCCTTAGAAATTTCTTCTACCAGATACCCTAATCCATCACTCTTAAGTTCAAAGTTCCAAAGATCCATAAGGCATGGGCAAAATGCCTCCAAGTTCTTTGCTAATGCATAACAAAAGTGATTTTTTGTATTAGTCCGTTCTCACGCTTCAGAAAATCTGTGGCTGAATTTCTAAGCAGTTCAAGTCGATATGGTCTATGATGTTTTCTAATTCCTACCTCCATGGGCTGAACCCATTAGAGCCTGGCTAAGAGGACAGAGGACTCGTGTCTTCTCACTTTCTTCTCTTATCATATGAATGCTTTCTTTGTTTTAGTTTTCAAACTTCTCAAAACAGAAAAGTTTTCTCTTGAACCTTGAGAAAAATCTTGGTGTCCTATTGCAATTTAAGAAACAATTTCCCTTTGTGATTATGAACATTCAGTGAATAATAGTGTGTGTTCATAATTGCCATTGCCATTGCAAAACAATCTACCTGAGATCACAATGTATAGGGATTGTTAGATATTGACAGGATTGAGTCATTCCTGAGTTAAAGGTCACGACGTCATCTCATAACACCATCAATTTCCACTCTACTTCCCCAAACCTCCCATCCTAATATACACACACTAACCCAATGGGAATTCAATGGTTCCAGGTTTTCACTGATTCTATATCCCATCAGTAAGATGCTTTCTCTCTTTCGTCCACAATAGCTTTATGAGGGAGTCAACAATAAACCAGACTCCAGTCATTGCTATGTAATGTACACACACACCTTGGAGGTCTGTATCACAGGAATAAAAATAATGTTCTCTATGTCACAAAAAAGTAGCCTAAGCCAATATTAAATAATTAATTTAGATTGATAAAATCCTAAAACTCTAAGTAGTCATAAAGTTAGCTGATTTCTAGAGTGTTACATAAAACAGCAGCCTTTATGCTCCTACATATTCTCCATGGCAGCCAGCCAGACAGAGGCTTTGGAAGACAGAAAACTCATCCTGGAGCCATTGAAGTTTATTCCTGCCCATTCTGAAAAATTGGCTGATATTGATAATTGTTATAAAAAGTTTACCCCATGAGTCTCACAGGCTGCCAAGAATGTAATTGGGCTGAAATGGAAGGCTGGTATAAAGCTTGCATCTGGTTCTGAGTCAAGGAGCCCTCACTCATTGACTAGCATCAAGGGAATCTTCTTTCATTTAGGGAAAACAGATGGAACAATTTGACTCTAATAGAGTTCATTTTAAGGAACTGTCCCAGCTTGTCCCAATGATGGCAAGTTGAATAGGTTCTCAAATAAATAACAGAAACCAGTAGAAGTTGAACTTACTAACCCTGGCTCAAATAAATCAAATCAGATTAATAATTATTAGGCATCTACTATGTATGAGGCATGATCCCATTCATAATTTTACCAAAATAATATTACAATGCTAATTCTGATCCCATTTTTCTACTAAATAATGATAACAAAATACAATATGTTATAATAATTAGGAAATGTTCCAGAACACGTTTAGACCACATTTTCATTTATTATATTGCCATGTGGTTTTAGTAAAAGTCATAGCATTTACATGCACTCTTAAAGTGGAAACTTGGCATATTCTACTGTCTGTAGGGGCTACAGCTAACTTCCAGGATAGCTTCCCAATCTTCTTGTATGACCTGCTCAGAAGTCTAACAGGCAAATACATGCCTTCTAGAAATTTTGTCAAGCGTTTTGAATCTTTTAGATTTTCAATTCTACAATGATTGCTAAAAAGAGTATCCAAAAATCTCTGTACTCTGAAGCCACTGCAATACTGCAGCAACAAAATTCCATAAGCATTTATTGTTTCTATATCTTAGGCACTAACTAGTCTATATACTTGAAATAAAGAAATGAATAGCACATTCTTCACCTAGTAAAGATGCACACAGTAGAATGGGGCAGGTAGGCAAATAAAACTATTTCAATACAAAGAGGGGTGCTGTAATTAAGAGTAAAGACTTGTGCTGTTGAACAAAGGTAGCAATTAGGCACATGTGTTCTAGAATGCTAGTCTGAATCAAGATCTGCTTTAAGTTTAAAATGTACACTGGATATGAAAACTCAGTGTGAAGAAATAAAAAAAATCTCATTTTTATAGGTCATATGTTGAAATGATATTGAGAATAAAATAACAGTACAATGAATTTCACCTGTTTCTTTCTGCTTTTGTAATATATCTACTTGAAATTTTTTAAAAATTGCATAGCATTTTTAGTTCATATTCGACTTCTAATGGACAGTCCTGTCACAGACCTCTTCAAAATTTGTTCTACCATTAGCTGTGAGACATTGGGTAAGTAACTTAATTTTCTTTGCATTATTTTCTACATTCATAAAATAGGACTGATGATAACTACAGTTGTTTACTGAATATGCTTGTCAGAATGAGTAAATGATTTAAAACACATAAAGGGTTATTATCATTAAAGATAAGCACAGAGCATGCAGGCACCTAGAAGGATTGCACAACACAGCCAGGAGAATTAATCTCAAGGAATGTTTTTTTATTTTTTTAATTTTATGGTTTAACAAAGCCTTGAAAAAAATGTTAGAAAGCTGTTCCAGTGCAATCAGATGGGGAGAATATTCCAAAAATAGGGAAAAATATAAGTAATGTCACCAAAACTTGAAAGAATCCTGGTCTGGCTGAGTGAAGTGGCTCACACCTGCAGTCCTAGCACTTTGGGAGGCTGAGGCAGTTGATCACTCGAGCCCAGGACCCCAAGACCAGTCTGGGCAACAGCGTGAGACCTTGTCTCTAAACAACAACAACAACAACAACAAACAAAAACAGACAAACAAAAAAAGACTAGTCTGGCATGGTAGCGTATGCCTGTGGTCCCAGCTACTCAGGAGGCTGAGGTGAGAGGATCGCTTGAGCCAGTGAGGTAGAGGCTGCAGTGAGCAATGATCATGCCACTGCACTCCAGTCTGTGTGAGAGTGTGAGACCTTGTCTCAAAAAAAAAAATAAAAGAGAGAAAAAGAAAAGAAAAAGAAGAATCCTGGTCCATTTCACAAACTGAAAGTGGTTTTCAAGATGTAAGACTGCGAACCTCTCAGAAGCCGGTGGTGGAAGGAGAGACCAGAGAGCAAGGTAAGGGCCAATCACTGCACAGCCTTATACTATTCTAAGGAATTCGTGGAATTAGGTATTCCTATAAGATTAACTCTACTGTCCCAGGAGAGGCAAAGGCAATATTCAAAGAGAAGAAATGAAATGGCAATAAGTAGTCATGTATGTTACTGAAACACTGATACAAAGGCTGTCTGAAGAGAAAAGCATATTTTTCCTTTCCCCACTTAGCTGACTCTCAAGGTAGGATGCTTTTGAGTAGGTAGTGAATTATCCTTTTCTATGAATTGAACCTATTAAGCCAATAAGCCTCCAAACCGTGTATATGCTTAATGAATTTACTGTAATATTGGTTATGAAAATAAATTATGGATTTTAGAAATTGTGCATGGTCCACCAAAATAAATATTAATGCTCAGATTCTATTATCATTATGGATAGACAAAAAAAACTCATAAGATATTTATCACTTACAAGAACATAATAGAGGTAGAGAGACATACTCCAAGGCAAAAGAGAAAAAGTTGAAAGCTCTTCTGGAAAGGTTCTCTTTGTCCAAGAGCTGCAGATAGTTACAATATTATGTCATGAGGGCAGTAAAATAATAAGAAAGGTGACTGTCTGGAAGAAATATGGTGAAGTACATTTGTAAATGTAAGAGATGTAACTGTTAGAAGTGAAATAGACAATACATTAGACAGATCATACATTAAAATGCAAATCTCACTGAGACTGGGGGAGAAGGGGATAGAAAACCAAATTTTGAAAAGAACAAGCAATATAGAGAAAAAAAAATTATGCAGAAATGGCTTTGATGTTGGGACAGCTGATTGGAAAATGCTCACACAAACAGTGATGGAATGTTACAGAAGCTATCAAAACCCAAATCCATACAAACATTCCAATCGTTTCTCTTCTGGATGGAGTTTTTTTTCTCCTAGTCTGAACTGCAATTACAAATAATGGGCTTCGAACCCTCTCAACCAGTGCCCAATGAGAGAGGCATGTTTATGCTTTCAAACATTTGGCCATCTACTTGTTCATATGCTATGATTTGATGGCCAGGTTTTTTTCTGTGCCATGAAACCCTGGTCCAGGATGAAACTGAAAAAAGATGGTGCAGTGACAGGATGATAAATGAGGTTCACCACATTAAAACGTTGGGTTGTCCTCTAAAATTTTTGTAACAGAAACAGTTTTACCAACATGTCTGCCCTGAAACACATTCTTCTTTAATGTTTCAAAGTCAAATAAGCAATGCCCACAACCTGTAAGAGGACTAACAGGGAAATCTCTTTTTGCTTTACCACTAGATATCCGAGTTGAACATTCTTGCTTTAGAAGAGGGCAATTCATAGGTAAGGATTTTGATTGTTTGTTGTAACTAACCAAATTCATATTTTGAAAATTCCCAATTAAAAAAGCCATTTTAGGGTTCAGAGATTCTATTTAGCAAGGATTCTTCATCTTAAAACAAGATTTTCCACGTTTCATTTAAAAATGGAATTAATCCAGTGCATTCAAAATGCAATACAATACACAGATTTTAACTGATATCCACATTTTAAAGAAACTAGTTTTTTTTTTTCTTTTTTTTTTTTTTTCTCTTGTTGCCCAGGCTGGAGTGCAATGGTGTGATCTCAGCTCACTGCAACCTCCACCTCCCGGATTCAAGTGATTCTCCTTCCTCAGCCTCCCAAGTAGCTGGGATTACAGGAAAGTGCCACCACGCCTGGCTACTTTTGTATTTTTAGTAGAGATGGGGTTTCTCCACGTTGGTCAGGCTGGTCTCGAGCTCCCGCTCTCAGGTGATCCACCCACCTTGGCCTCCCAAAGTGCTCGGATTACAGGTGTGACCCACCATGCTCAGCCTCGGAAACTAGTCTTAATAGAACCTGGGACGTTAACTTTTTAAAAAGTAATTTCAATCTGTAATCGTAGAACCTCTGAAGGGATATTGATTCTTTAAACAGATATAAAGTTAAAGTCAAAAAGGTCTTAGTTGTAGAGAGGCAGCACACTCTAAATATCAGAACTTTAAAACTGATTATAGGCTAAAATCACAAAGTAGAAAATGACAACCAGTAAATTTGTCATGTGGTTTCACTCTCCCAGATAGCTTTGTACAGTGTCATCTAAAATTTAATCAGCAATGTGAAACTAGATTAAATTTAATTTGAAATTTCATTTTAGAATAATTTCAGTTTGAATACTTCTTTGGTCTTTCTTCATGCCCTTCTAAATAGCTTTAAATTCATAACTTTATATTTCACTTTCCTATTTTCTTTAGACAATAATGTTTATTTTCCAACAACCTTATTGCCATGTAGCTTAAGAACCTCGAGACCAGCCTGGCCAACATGGTGTAACCCCATCTCTACTAAAGACACAAAAAATTAGCCGGGCATGGTGGTGCACGCCTGTAATCCCAGCTACTCAGGAGGTGGATGTTGTAGTCAGCTATCGCACCACTGCACTCCAGCCTGGGCAACAGGGTGATACTCCGTCTCAGGAGGAAAAAAAAAAAAAAAGTATCTATGAAAGAACAGCTTAAGACCACTCAGCGGTTGTTCCTACCCATTCAGTGGCCTGAGAAGTGGGAGTTGAAGACCAGTCTTCTGTGGCAGTCTTGAGTGCTCCAGTCTTCAGCAGAGCCCTGCTGAATAAGCACAGAGGGCACCTGCACACCTTGAGACCAGTCTGCAACTTCAGCCTGAGTAGCAGCAAACTCAGGAGCTACAGTAGGCCATTCATCCTGAAATTCTTCTTCCTTGGTCATAGCTTTTTCAGTAGCAGCCTGCTCTTCCTTTTTAATCCTTCAGGATCTCTGTAGAAGTAGAGATCAGGCATGACCTCCCATGGATGTTCATGGGAGATGGTGCCACACAAGTGCAGAACTCCCCGGGCCACCATCAACCACATTAGCCCCACTGAGTGAGCTCCTTTGTTGAGTGGGATGGCAATGTCCACATAGCACAGAGGAGAATCTGTGTAACACAGAGCAATAGTAAGCAGGTTAATAAAAGATGCCTCTGTGAGAGGACAGTGGCCAGCCCTGGGATTATTAACCACTAGAAGCTGTGGCTCCTGAAAGGCTGCCAGGATCTGGTTAGTGAACATCCCAAGAGTGAAGCAGCCAGCAATTGGAGTTGCTCCAGTGGCAGCAGCAAACTTTGGCAGAGCCCTCTGGCCAGTATTCCTGGAGGACATGACACTGACATCAGTTTTCAATGGCAACAATGACACGAGCGGTCAGCAGAAGCTTCTCCTGAGTCCTCTTCAGATTTAGGATATAGATGCCATCACTTTTCCTTTTCCAGATGTACTGATCCATTTAGAAGTCAAGGTTGGTGCCACCTAAGTGGGTTCCTGCTGTAAGAAACTTGAGGACATCCTCTACCTTCATTTTCAAGACATCGCAGGTTCCAGACATTGTAAAAGCTTCCCTTTAAGTTACAGCGGGAATCCAGTACCATCTGGGCCCTTCTCTGGGTAGCACAGAAAGCTCAATTTCCTTAGGAGAATCCTTAGGATAATCTTCATGATTCTCTTTATTCTTTCAGATTCCTTTAACATATATTTAGCAAAACTGTTGCATAGTACTCTAATAAAGCCCTGATTCTGCTATCTTTGTTTGTAATCATTCCTGAACACAAAGCTATAAATTTTGCTTCACAAGGTCCTGCCTGTATGCAGAATGTTCTAGTTAATAAATATTCCATTGTAGTCAAAAGTCAACACTTCAAGTGTCATTATTCTAATAATAATTTTTCAGATTAATTCCAGATGCCTTGTACTCTTAAGTTCATCATATTAAATTGCAGTGCAGGTAGCAGTTAAATCAACCTCACAGGAATAGTGAGCATCACAGTTAATTTTCTCTTTTTTTCAGTGTCTCTTTTTTTTTTCTTTGAGTCAGAGTCTCGTTTTGGCACCTAGGCTGGAGTGCAATGGTGTGATCTCGGCTCACTGCAACCTCTGCCTCCCGGGTTAAAGCAATTCTCCTGCCTCAGCCTCCTGAGTAGCTGGGATTACAAGTGCCCACCACCACACCCAGCTAATTTTCGTATTTTTAGTAGAGATGGGGTTTCACCATATTGGCCAGGCTGGTCTCTTGACCAGGCTGGTCTCGAACTCCTGACCTCATGATCTGTCCGCCTCAGCCTCCCAAAGTGCTGGGATTACAGACGTGAGCCACTGCCCCTGGCCAGTGTCTCTTGTTTTATTTGTGGATGTGTTTGTGGTTGTTGGGCATGTGTACACATGTGCATGTGTGTGTGCAAACATGCATGAGTGTACATGCATGTATTTATCATTTCTTTTTATTGTCATCTATGTTCAGATTTCTGCTTTTCTTCTTTATTGCTCCCTTAAATTTTCCCCACGCCTTCCAAATTTCTGAAGGGAAAATTTAACCTTTTATAACAAGGTAAAAGAGAGTGCTACATTCTTTCCTCCAAGAATCTGAGTTTTCTCTTTTTCTTGAGGGTTAAGGAACTTCACTGTCACCAAGAAGTACTTCCTCAAAAAAAATTGAATTCAAAGAAAATGAATGGTAGAAGAGTAATCAATGCTTCTACCAGGTGCCAGGTGGTTTACATATATAGGCCATCTCTTTAGTATCACAACTCTTCCAGGAAGATATTATTAACCACCATTTTACCTGTGAGTAAACAAACCTAAAGAGATCCAGTAACCTGTCCCAGTCATACTGACAACAAAAGTAGAACCCAATATAGAACTACATTTCTGACAAGAACATCCATATTTTAAGGGCTACATCACAGTATATCAAGCCTCTAGAAAGCCAAATTCTAGACAATTAATATTTTATTATGTAACCCTTTCTATTTTTCACAAAAGTAATAAGATGTATATTACTCTGTCATCTTAGATGTTAATGTTACTGTACATATGATCAGCATTATATGTGGACTAAATTTAATTTATTGTAGAATACTCTTAATAGGAAAGAAGTTTTGGCAATAATCACCAAAAGTTAAAGTAATCTAAACTACTTTATAATTAATACATCAAATCAGACTAGTTTTCATTATGATTTAGTATAATAATATTTGTAGGACTTTCCTATTTGTGGAAAATGACTCTATTAGAACATTTCTCAAATTGTGTTCTGAGGAATAGTAGCTCTACAAAATGTTACATGATGCTCCAAATTATGGGATCTGTGATATTAAAAGTTAAAGAACACCACACTATAATTCCCATATCAGACGTTTTGAAGTGAATACTAAAGGTTCTAAAGAGTCCCAGGTGGGAGATAGGGAGACAGGATTTCTCTGGATTGGTATTTCCACATAAGTTTCTAAAGCAAAGGTCTATCAGTTTATAGAGTAGAATACAATTCAGTTAGAATTTGTAGAAAAACATCTTGGTGATGTTGATAAAAACATTTTTACATTTTCACTTTCAAATCAGTAGATACATAAACAGTAATAGTGAGTTCTTTTAAAATATAGTTACCTGTAATTACCCATTATGGAATGGGTAATTATCATTTTTAAAAAGGCAAATTATTATGAAAGTTAATTCACTTGGGAAACGATAGTGTTTGACTCATGGCAAACTCTAAACTGTAGATTTATCAACTAAATGACAAAATGTTGTGCTTATTATTTTCAATTTATTTTATTTTTATTATTTTTTGAGATGAAGCCTCACTCTGTCACCCAGGCTGGAGTGCAGTGGCACGATCTTGGCTCACTGCAACCTCTGCCTTATGGGTTCAAGTGATTCTCCTGTCTCAGCCTCCCGAGTAGCTGGACTACAGATATGCGCCACCACCCCTGGCTAATTTTTGTATTTTTAGTAGAGCCAGGGTTTCACCATGTTGGCCAGGCTGTTCATGAACTCCTGACCTCAGGTGATACACCTGCCTTGGCCTCCCAAAGTACTGGGATTACAGGCGTGAGCCACCATGCCTGGCCTACATTTTCCATTTTAACGCATTTAGACTTTCCTCAAATCTTAATCCTTAATTTTCCACAGTTGGGCAAGGATATTCAATATTGCCATTCTCATATTCTGTGTGTAATACTTTGACACAGTACACTTTATTTCAGTAGTTCTCCTTCCTCAGTGTGAAAAATATAGATCTTTTAAAGTATAGTACTTCCAAAGCCTATAAAATCTGTTTTTATTTTTAGTCATATTTTAATATATATTTTATTCCAAGCTTCACATGCGTAATAGGATAACCGTGTGTTTTAAAAGAAATAACAGCATTACGTGCAAAGCTAGAGGAGTTAACTGCTGAATTTATGAGTGTGTATTACTACAACTTACAAAGTGTCGATGGCAATACCTATATAAGTAATAGGAAAAATATATTGTAAGTATTAAGTAATACTTAGGAAACAAAAAGAAAATTAATTTCCTCTTTATATTGTTGCTTTTTAAATATATTTTCTGCTCTAAGATGTTACCAAAAAGTGTACTGTTCCCAGGCAGACTGTGTTAGTGACTTGTTCTTTTTAAGAATATAAAAGGAGAACGAGACCATGGTATAATTAAACAGAAGACCTTAAGAAAGGACGTTGGTAGATAGGAGCCTTTTAGACTTGAGATTATGGAAATCTAACTGTGAACTGAGTAAGTATGAACCTTAGATCAAGGACACCCAGTCTCTGCACGTTGGAGGGTTCTCTCTCCCTCCTCTAGCTCACTCCTACTCATGTGGCAAGGATTCCATAAGGCCAAGGGGAGGCCATAATTACCTATTGATATTATACCTGTCTGGAATCCATCCCTACCCAGGACTCTGAACATTCCTCTCCAAGCCCTCTGCCCTGGTCTGTGAGAGTTCATTCCCTGGGTTTTTCCTCTTTGCAATGAATTGAGCCACCTATATGGGCATCTCTGGGCCTGAGGAGTAGCATGTGTAAACAGTTTCAACATACAGGCTGGGGCATTCACACATGTTTGTTTGAAGCTCTCAAGATGCTAACAGCCTCAGGGGTGAAAAAAAACCTAGTGTTAGACACAGGGCAGGTGTCAGGTGCTAGTTCTCCTGTACCGCTGTTTTTTTTGTTTGTTTGTTTTGTTTTGTTTGTGTTTTTTTTTGGCTGCAGAACTTTAAGGAGTCAGATGATTCTCAATTCAAATCTGGCTCTCCAGACCATTAAGAAGATATTTTTGTCAAGGTAGAAGGATAGCATATATTTTTAACAAACTGTCAGATTGATTCATGAGTTAAATATTTAATGTAAAACTAATAATCTCCATTTATATTCTTGTTCTAGCTCCAAAGACATTATGACTGGGACTGCTCTATCACATCACCCTTCACTAATGGAAACAGACACATGGTATCATTTGAATCATTTCAGGGTAATCTAGAGTAGAGTTGGACCGGCAAAGTGGCCTGGAGGTTGAACAGTGAGGACCCTATAACAATTGAAGCCGTGATTCAGAGAGCCTATGTCACCATCATGAGCCACGAAGAGCTTGGGTAGGCAAGAGAGGACCACCAGTCTCTACTGGACACACAAGAAATATGCCACTCTGGACTCAAACAGTTTAGGAGCTCAGCCATTATGACCAACAGAGAGACCAGCAACTGCAGGAATATAGGAGAAAAAAAGAAAAGGAATTCACATTTGTCGCAGGGCATCACAATGCAGGGATCTTATCTCAGCACTAAGAGGTTAGGAAGTCAACCCTTCCCTCAGATGCCACTTTAGGGTAAGGAGGTAGAGAGGTACTGGTTGAGAGACAGGATTTTTAACCAAGAAAGTCAGCACTGCCTAAAGGGATACTTGAATCTACAGCATTATAGACTAATGTGAGATTAGACGCAAATGGACCAAAATAAAGTATGATATCCCAATACTCATCACATAAGGAAGACCAAATCCATTAAAGAAAAAATAAATTACACTTTGTGTATTTGAGGTGAAGGATAGACAATTTTATGGCATCACTACTTATGGACAGATATGTGTTTATGTAACACTCTATATATTTAAAAAGCTGCTGACAGTTTTATGATCTTTTACCTATGCTTCCTTCCATCCTAAAAACCTCAGAAACCTTTCCTTCAACTATCTCTTCTGGATTTCATTGATGTTAAAACTATACACATTTAAATTTTGAAAGCATCATAATTAGTTCAGCTTAAATAAATCACATAAAATATAAATAGTAGTCAGTAACTTGTCAAGGATTTGGTGTTTACCATGTGTCAGATGCCAGGTGTGGTATAGGAATCTCAGAGCTGAATCAGTTATGGAAATGCTCTGCAAAGAACTTACAAAGTAATGCATGTATAGAAATAGGATGCTGTAGTGGTATAAGGAAGAGTTGGTCATTTATCCCTCAGAGGAATATGAGTAATTTCCAAATGCAGTTGACACTGGCACAGAGTAGCTATTTCACTAGATGACCCTTTTTGTGTAAGGTTATTCCAGATAGAGAAAATAAATTAATTAAAAATTATAGGCTGGGCGCAGCAGCTAACACCTTTAATCCCAGCACTTTCGGAGGCTGAGACAAGCAGATTGCCTGAGCTCAGAAGTTTGAGCAGCCTGGGCAACATAACAAAACCCCAACTCTACTAAAAATACAAAACAATTAGCCGGGCATGGTGGCATGTGCTTCTAGTCACAGCTACTGGGGAGGCTGAGGTGGGAGGGTTGCTTGAGCCTGGGAGGCAGAGGTTGCAGTGAGCTGAGATCGTGCCACTGCACTCCAGACTGGGTGACAGAGTGAAACTCTCTCAAACAAAAGCAGGAACAAAAACAAAAAACATCAGAGCAAAGGGAAAATAATCACTAACTGCATAAATATACATTAGCAAATATTCTTTATAATACTTTTATTTTATATATGTGTGAGACAACCTATTACGGTTTCGGATTCTGTATTCAATATTAAATAAACTTATTAAATATGGTCGGGTTCTATAATTGCTATTGAAGAGGTGGATAGGCTTCATATCATGGAGGACCTTGTCCTCCATGTCATACCATGGAGGTGTGTCATACCAAGGAATTTGGATTCTAACCTTTTAGGAAATGGGAAATTAGTAAAAGATTAAACTTTAGGAGTTCACATAACCAATTTGACACTGTAGTGATCACCTTGCTGCTGCAGAAGTATTAATTGTAGAAAAGCAGTAGGCCAGGTAAAAGATAAATGGAGCCTGAATTAAGATGGAAGCACAACAGTAACTCCAGGGGAATGGATCCAGGAAGTGTCAAGGAGGTGGACTGATGGGACTGGAATACAGTTCATAGGGAAAGGACCAGGAAAAGGGAGGCATAGAGGAATTCTAGACCTCTGTCTTGTGTGACTGGTAAGTGACGGTATCATTCACAGAAGTTTGGAGAGCAGAAGATACAAGTTAGTGAGGAACAACAGGGAGTTCAATTTTGAACATGTTAAGCTTGAGGCACCTTTGGATTGTTGAAATCCCAATTCTTTAGAAGAAAATAGTAAATTAAACAATGTGTTAAAGGCCTAAAATACCATTCAATTTCTCTAAGTTTTAATGGAATAAAAGACATTCCAAAGGTCCACACGAAAGGGCATTTATTAAATTATGCCTTTAGTTTATGTGAGTGAAAGAGAAGAAAGAAACAGAGAGAAAGAGCAAGCCTGGAATTAACTCTATACTCAGTAATTATTCCACAATCAGAACATCGGAACAAAGGGAAAATAATCTGTAACTGCATTAATATATATTAGCAAATATTATTTATAATACTTTTACCAGCAGTACTGGTACACATTATCATCTATTATATAATGAGAGAGAAAATAAACCATTTTTATTTATTTTCTAATCCTTATTGAGGTATAGTTGGAAAAAATGTATATATTTATGGTGTACAATATGTTTTGATGTGCCTGTATATTGTGAAATGATTACTACAATCAAACTGGTTAAGACATCCATTACTTCACAGAGTTACCAGTTTTTGCTTATAAGTGTGGTGAGAACATTTAAAATCTATTCTTTTTAGCAGTCTTTAAGTATAAAATATGATATCGGTTAACTATAGTCACCATGTTGTATGAAAGATCTTCAGAACTTATTCATCCTGTGTAACTGAAACTGCACCTTTTGACCAACATCAACTTACTTTGAGTCAAATTTTCATATAACAAAATCTACCCATGTTAACAGTATTTAATGGAAAATTTAATAGACAAATATATACAAGCATATAACCACCATCACAATCAAAACATAGAACATCTCTGCCACTCCAAAGAATGCCCTTTTAGTCACTAGGTTTTAAATTTTACTAAAAAAAAAAGCATCAAATCAGTCATTTAAGACTGACTATTTTGAGCGTTTGAGATGACAAGATATTAGTGTAAACTTGTTTTATTCATCTTTTTATTCTCAACATAGAAGCCACAGGGGAGCTAATAAATACCAATAGGTTAAATAACAACTTTTTAAATTCATCAACACGTTTCCATTGCATTTAATTTATTTTTATCTTTGAGGCATATCTGCAGAATACACACTATAGTCAATCCCCCATAACTCTGAAATATAACGAGAAATTGTCACTTCTCTGACTCATTATGAAAGACAAGTTCCTGCCCTCATGTGGAACAATCAATCTCATATACAAAATAGACTTTGCCATAGCAATATAGCATATTTCCAGGCAATATGTTGTGATCAGATTCATTTGATAGTACTTTAATTGCTCAACATACACAGCAACTCTTCCCTCTTCTCATTCTCAAGACCTGGCAGTAGCCAGATCAATTTATGCTCAGTGTACCCTCCAGTGATCTTCCTATGCCATTTCTCGGGATTCTGATAGGGCAGCATGAGAGACATCCAGAATACAACAGTAGGGACAATATCATGTAACTCTACCCTGTCAAAGTAGCAAATTTTCTAAGAAAATCTACAGGCAACCAGCCAGGAAGAATAGCCAGTTAGATAACTTGAGAAACTTGAATATATTTGTAAAGAGTAATAATTAACTTTAGACTGTTAAGCATTTTCAAACTCCTACAAGAAAAGCAACACTTAAGTCTAGATCTAAATAAGTGTTTTAAAACACAAAAATGAAGAAGACTGCTTTTTTACCCATGGGAATGTCACCTTGGGAGATATTACTTGAGTTCAAATAGATAAAACTCCTGGTATTTCATTATGTCTCTTCTACTTACGTGCCAAGAGAGAATAACTAATAGGGAGAGAAAGAAAGGTTTTATATTTGCAGGTCGTTATGAAAAATGTAAGCCATTCATACAACAGAGTATGTGATTACTTATGTGGACACCAGGTAGAGTTAATGGGCCTCTGAAACCTATTATATCAGTCACTAGAAAGTACCTATAAAGCTAAAAATTGAAACTCACATTACCACTGAATATTCAAATGAATACTATGGTTACTAATTCTACAGAGGAAAATGTACTACATTTATTACAATGTTCTGAGAAGAAAGAAAAAGATAAATGTACTTTTACATCCTTGAGGACAAATTTCATATTCTATTCTGTTTTATAGCCACAATATCTAGTATAATAATGCAAACAAAGGTGTGTGTGTGTATATATATATATAAAATATATGTTTTACTATGTAAGCCTTGAAAATAATTTTACCTATGGGTGGTCTAATAACATGGTAGTCCTTTCCAGCTTGTTCTTTAGTCATAGAACCAATATCAAATCTCAGAAGTTAGAAATAATTCCAGTCATTCAACTGTTGGAAGTTGGACAGATTTTATGTGAATATACACACACAATTTGAATTCATATTATATTTAGTTTTTGTTTCTCACAATTTTGATGTTTACAATATCTTTACATGGCCCAAATTTCCTCAAATTGCTTTTTTATCCCTAGAGAGTAGTCAGTTAAGGAGAGAGCTGGTGGTCACTCCCAAAGAATTAAATTGAGTATATATTTTATGTATCACAATGCTAATATTGCCTGCATGAAAAAAATTGAGATCAATTATAGCCATGGTAATCAAAACAATAGAAACTCTTTCATGTGGTTAGAAAACTTTATATTAAAATCAAACTCACAGCCGGGCGTGGTAGCTCATGCCTGTAATCCCAGCACTTTGGGAGGCTGAGGTGGGTGGATCACCTGAGGTCAAGAGTTCGAGACCACCCTGGCCAATGTGGTGAAACTACAGCTCTATTAAAAATACAAAAATTAGCCGGGCGTGGTGGCACGTGCCTGTAATTCCAGCTACTTGGGAGGCTGAGGCAGACGAATCACTTGAACAAGGGAGGTGGTGGTTGCAGTGAGACCACATTGTGCCACTGCACTCCAGCCTGGGCAACAGAGCATGACCCAGACTAAAAAAAAAAAAAAATCAAACTCACAAGATGAAAACTGACTTACCCCAAATTTTGACAACTGTTAAGTCCACCCAAATCACCAACAGTACGTCTAAGTTTAATACAGTTGCTAACCAATGCTGTTTGCAGTGGCAATTGTTGACTGTAAGCATCTGTCATACATATAACATGACACTGGAGTGTCTCTTTATCTTTGCTGTTAGAATATGGCAAAAAGAAAATGTTGTGCCTTAATTAGGTTAATATTCCTTGTGATTAAATGAGAACCTAGCAAAATATAAACAAAACATGTACTCTTAGTGTGTATATTTTACATGTTTAACATTAAATACGTATATAAGTAATGTGCATAAGTATCACATATAAACATGTGACACATACACTGTACATTCAAAGTACAAATGCACCTGTTTTATTTTTAAAAAGTCATTTTTCTTTCTAGTCCTCTATATCAGAGTTTATTTTACTATACCTGATCATTCCAAAAGTCTCAATATTCAAGCAATGCTCAATACGTATATATGTGTGTGTGTATATATATCCACAAACTCATAAAATTGGCTTTTATTGAACCTAAAACATATCAGGTAAAAGAATGTAGTTGAATAAAAGCTCTTCACCCATTGTTTGCCTTTTCATTTTCTTTCTTTTCGAGAGTCAAAATAGGAATACAGAAAGCAGTTGAAGGTTTTGTTCAACTAGAGGAAACTTTCTACATGTCTTTTTCTTTTAAGTCTAAATAGCTTATATATGTTATTTCGATCAAAAGTAGTGTCTAAACAATTATCTGTAAATTCAATACAGAAATGGAATCAGGGCTTATCTCTAAAATGTTTGTTTTCTATTCTTTATAGTTACCTTGTTCCCATCATAATTAAAATAATCACATTCTTGAGAATTTCCTCCAGTCCATATCATCCCTATGGTAAGAGGCTGAGATTACATCTGGAAATGGCTCTGATTACTCCTTCCATGTCTCTCATTTTGGGGGTGTAATGTTCATATCTTAAAAATTTAGCCATTGTATAGGTAAAATTCAATCACCAGGCAATCTGCTCTTTGTCTCTAGAAAATTTGGCTTTTCTGGACTTTTCATTTGAATGGAATCATACAATACGCAGTACATATGCTTCTTTTAATCAGCATAATGTTTTCAGGACTTATCCATCTTATAGTAGCCACAGGAGTTTGTTCTTTTTACTGTTAATCATTCATATTCCACTGTATATATATACATTTTTATCCACTTACTAGTTAATAGAATTCTGTATTGTTTGCAGTGTTTAAGTATATAAAGAATGTTGTCATAAACATTCCTGTACAAGATTTTGCATAGCTGTATGTCTCGTTTTGCATTGGCATATAAATAACAGTGGAATTACTGGGTTATGTAATAAGTACACATTTTACTTTTTAGGAAACTGTCACGTTGTCTCCCCAAGTGTTGTATTTCCACCAGCAATGCATAAAGGTTCTAGTCTCTCCGCATTTTGCCAATGTTGCCGTTTTGATTATAGGTATTCTTGTAGATATATAGAGGTATTTCATTATGTTTTTAATTTGCACTTCCTGAAAGATAATGATGGTGAGCACCTTTCCATGTATGTATTACCCAATCACATGAATTCTTTGGTAAAAAATTTGTTAAAATCTCTCGCCTGATTTGTTTTGATTTTTTAAAATACATTTTAGATATAAGATCTTCATAAAATATAAGGTTTGCAAATTCATTCTCCCTGACTTTTCATTCTCTTAGCAATAAGTCAAGTTTATTAATTTTCACTTTTATGAATGATGCTCTTGATATCACATTTAAGAATATTTGTCTAAATCAAGGTAAAAGATTATCTGGTAGTCTTTTTCTAAAAAGTTTTATAGTGTTAGTGCTAACATTAAGGTCTTCTATATTCTGAATTTTTTTTCTATTGTGGTATCAGGGTCTAAATTCATTTTTTTTCAAGTGGATATATAATTTTCCTATCACCATTTGTTGAAAATACTATTCTTTCCTTCATTGAATTGCCTTGCTATTTTTTTAAATTAATTGGCCATAAACCTAAGGGCTTATTTCTTGACTTTCAATTCTATTTCACTGATTTATATTTTTGTCATTATGATAGTACCACATTTTCTTGGCTACTGTAACATTATAGTAAGTTTTGAAATCGGGTATGGCAATTCCTCCAATTTCTTTTTTGTTTTTATTATTATACTTTAAGTTCTGGGGTACGTGTGCAGAATGTGCAGGTTTGTTACACAGGTATAGATGTGCCATGGTGGTTTGCTGCACCCATCAACCCATCATTTACATTAGGTATTACTCCTATACTCCTAATGCTATCCCTCCCCTAGCTCCTCACCCACTGACAGGTCCCGGTGTATGATGTTCCCCTTACTGTTCACCATGTGTTCTCATTGTTTAGCTCCCACTTATGAGTGAGAGCATGTGGTGTTTGGTTTTCTGTTCTTGTGTTAGTTTGCTGAGAATGATGGTTTCCAGCTTCATCCATGTCCCTCCAAAGGACAGGAACTCATCGTTTTTTATGGCTGCATAGTATTCCATGGTGTATATGGGCCAGATTTTCTTTATCCAGTCTATCATTGATGGGCATTTGGGCTGGTTCCAAGACTTTGCTATTGTGAATAGTGCCACAATAAACATATGTGTGCATGTATCTTTATAGTAAAATGATTTATAATTATTTGGGTATATACCCAATAATGGGATTGCTGGGTCAAATGGTATTTCTAGTTCTAGATCCTTGAGGAATCACCACACTGTCTTCCACAATGGTTTAACTAATTTACAGTCCCACCAACAGCGTAAAAGCATTCCTATTTCTCCACATCCTCTCCAGCATCTGTTGTTTCCTGACTTTTTATTGATTGCCATTCTAACTGGCGTGAGATGATATATAATTGTGGTTTTGATTTGCATTTCTCTAATGAAAAGTGATGATGAGCTTTTTTTCATATGTTTGATGGGTACATAATGATCTTCTTTTGAGAAGAGTCTGTTCATTTTCTTCACCCACTTTTTGATGGGGTTGTTTTTTTCTTGTAAATTTAAGTTCTTTGTAGATTTTGGATATTAGCCCTTTGTCAGATGGATAGATTGCAAAAATTTTCTCCCATTCTGTAGGCTGCCTGTTCACTCTGATGGTAGTTTCTTTTGCTGTGCAGAAACTCTTTAGTTTAGTTAGATCCCATTTGTCAATTGTGGCTTTTGTTGCCATTGCTTTTAGTGTTTTAGTCATGAAGTCTTTGCCCATGCCTATGTCCTGAATGGTATTGCCTAGGTTTTCTTCTAGGGTTTTTATGGTTTTTAGTCTTATGTTTAAGTCTTTAATCCATCTTGAGTTAATTTTTGTATAAGGTGAAAGGAAGTGATCCACTTTCAGCTTTCTACATATGGCTAGACAGTTTTCCCAACACCATTTATTAAATAGGGAATTCTTTCCCCATTGCTTGTTTTTGTCAGGTTTGTCAAAGATCAGATGGTTGTAGATGTGTGGTGTTGTCTCTGAGGCCTCTGTTTTGTTCCATTGGTCTATATATCTGTTTTGGTACCAGTACCATGCTGTTTTGGTTACTGTAGCCTTGCGGTGTAGTTTAAAGTCAGGTAGCATGATGCCTCCAGCTTTGTTCTTTTTGCTTAGGATTGTCTTGGCTATGTGAGCTCTTTTTTGGTTCCATATGAAATTTAAAATAGTTTTTTCCAATTCTGTGAAGAAAGTCAACAGTAGTTTGATTGGGGTAGGATTGAATCTATAAATCAATTTGGGCAGTATGGCCATTTTCTTATTTTTAAATATTGTCATGGCTGTTTTAGGTCCTTAACATTTTCACATAAATTTCTAAACCAGCTCATCAATTTCTACCTCCAAAAAAAGCCTACTTAGAATTTTGATAGAAATTGCATTCAATGTATAGATCAATTTTGGGAGAATTGCCATCTTCACAGTATGGAGACTTACAATTCATGAACATGGAATGTCTCTCCATTTATATAGATCTTCAATTTGTTTTAGCAACATTTTGTAGTTTTTAACACAGATTTTTTAATCTTTTTTATTTATATTCTTAGTTTGTGATGTTATTTTACATATTTATATTTATTTCATATTCATTATAATTATGCTATATTAATATATATTATACTTACATTTACATTATATTCTTAATTTTTTTGTGTATCTTATTTCTGATGTCATGGATATAATTTTTCTATAATTTCATTTTTAGATTGCTCCTTGAAAGTACACAGAAATACAATTATATTAATCTTGTATCCTATGACATTGGTAAATTTGTTTATTAGTTCAAGTAGTTTATTATGGATCTCTTTGTATTTTCTGCATAAAGGATCATGTCATCTGAGAAGTAAAATAATTGTACATTTCTCTTTCAATTTGAGTGCTGTTAATTGCTTTTTTTTCCTTTTTAATGCACTGGCTAGATCTTTCAGTACTATGTTGAATAGAAGTGATGAGAACAGACATTCTTGCCTCATTTCAGATTTTAATAGAAATATTAAATTAACATTCTCTACCATTAAGTATTATATCCGCTGTGAACTAAATACTGTTTGTCATTTTAAAGATATTCCCTTTTATTACTAGTTTTTTGAGAGTTTTTATCATGACTATTAGAATTTTTCAATTTTTTTCTGTATATTGAGTTCACTGTGTTGCTTTTTACTTTATTCTGTTAATATAATGTATTACCTTATTTGACTTTTAGATGACAAACCAACCTTGACTGTCTGGAATATATCCTACATGGTCACAGTGTATAATGCTTTTTATATGTTCTTGAATTTAGTTTGTTAATATTTTGTTAAAGACTTCCGCCTCTACATTTATGAAAAATATTAGTCTGTAGTTTTTGTTGTTTATTTATCTGTTTGGTTGTGTTTCCTTGTGATGCATTTGTCTGATATGAGAATTAGGATTACACTAGCCTATTAATAAAATACATTTTTATGGTTCCTACTGGTACCAGTAGGAAAGATTACTACTATTTCTTCTTTAAATATTTCACAGAATTTTGAATAAGGCCATGAGATAGAGGGCTTTTATTTTAGAGAAGATATTAAATTGCTAATTCAATTTTATAGTTTTATTCATACTCTCAAATTCTCATTGACCCCACTTTGGTAATTTGGGTCCTTCCATGACTTTATCCATTTTTGCTAGTTATCTAAATTATTATAATAACATTTTTATAATATATTAAAATGTCTTTAGGGTCCTAATGATGTCATCTCTTTCATTGTCAGTCTTGGTAATTTGTGTTTTCCCTCATGTTTGTAGTAAATCTAGGTAAGATTTTGTCAGTTTTGTTGGTCTTTTTAAAGAATTAACTTTTGGGTATATTTCCATCTTAATCTTTATTATTTTCTTCCTTCTGTTTGCTTTGAATAACTTTGCTTTTCTGTTGTTAAGTTTCTTAAGATTAAGCTAGGGATATTAATTTGAGAATATTATTCTTCCCTAAAATAGACATTTAAAACTATAAATTCCCCCAAAACTACCGTTTTAGTTGCATTCTATAAATGTTGAAATGTTGGATTTTAGTCTTCATTCAGTCCAAAATATTTTACAATTTCTTGTGACCTCTTTTAGAAATATATTCATAAATTTCCAAATACTTCAGGGTTTCCCAAATTTATTTGTGTAGTTGATTTCTAATTTAATTCTATTTTTGCCAGAGAAAATATTCTCATTCATAAGGAAAAATCATATTCACTGTTATTCAGTGACATAGACTTTGCAAAATCTCAGAACACTGTGATTTTGTTTATTCTAAGAAAAAAAATTTTCTAATTTATAGAATAATTGAAAATAAGGCAAGAAAAGAATAAAAAAAGAGTATGCCAATTTAATGTATGAGTTCCTTCTAGCAATAATCAATATTTAAAAATGTAAACACTTAAGAAGAATTTGAGTTAAAATGTAAGTAGTCCATGATCTCCTTATTATAAATAACTACTCAAGAATATCTTTTCTTAAGTGAGGAGTAATTGAAAAAAATGTACCCTTCTTATTTTAAGGATTAAGACAGGTACATTTAAAATCAAACATAAGGTAAGGTTTTAATTCAACAGATATTCCTAGTAAGTTTATATAAACCATATTAAGTAGTTGGAAATGCCTAATTATGGATTTTAAAATAAATAATCCAAGCTCATCCTTACGTAGTGAAAGGTAAGAAAAAAAGTAAAAATTCTTACTATTGTCATCTCCATAAGGGAAATGTAAGTGAAGTATTTCCATAAATCCTACTATATGCTCATCACTATAATGATATGGAGAATCTGACCTACTAAACGAATATGTCTGATTCATCTGAAACACAATACTTATATTTTATATTATTAAAGAACATTGCCTGAATTATTTTGATCAGTATTTAAAAGGTTTCTTATGTCATAGAGAAAGTTGGGTAAGAACAAATGATACTTACAGGGGCCACTCCCATATGACATGTAAAAGTTAAAAAAAGAAGGAAGACAAATGTCTATGGAAATGATGAAGATCTATGGAAAAGTCAGAAAGACTGGGAAATGCTGGGGAAGAATACAAGCAGGCACAGATACCTTGCAAGCAGAATCACAGTTCACTTTCATCTCTCAGAATACAGGAGAATACAGTTACCATACGTGTCATCATTATCTTGAGCATTTATACCCAGAAGGCAGTCACAAGGACACTCCTAAGTGAACGAGGTTCAATCAGCATTGACTTACATTGGGATGGGAGAGAAAAGCCTTAGGAATTAGAGAGTGTGGGAGCCACAGCCCCTATTTAACCAATTTGTTTAAACTGAAGGCCTAGATATGGGGGCATGCTACAGCACTTTCATAGGTCACAAATTAATGTCACACCTAAATACATTTTCCTGCCTTTCTCAATTCAGATGTCCTCATGTAATAGCCCTCTTAGGATTAAGCAAAGTAGGCCAACAGAAGTCTCATAGGCATGTCAATTCACAAATGCACTGTAAATTATCACAAATAACAAATAAAACTAAAGAAGAAGAAGAGTAATGAGAAAAGATAACTGAGAATGAGAAAATCTGTTCTAGTTCTGCTCTGCTACTAACATACTATGTGACCTTAAGATACTTATTTAAAGTCTCCTGGCTCCCATCTGTTGACAAGTAAGGTGGTCTAGGTAGACCAAATACACTATAATGTCATATCCAGTTCCATTTTGGGGGGATTTAATAAATTTTCACCACCTCTATAAACACAGATACACAGACACAGACACACACACACACACAAACACATACACACATTCTTTCTCTCCTATACAAACGATACTTTGTTCCTTCAAAAAACTTACATTTATTCTAAATTTAACTGTATAAAAACATGAGTATTTCACTTTTATGCGTTAATTTTTATAATGTTTTTGTTTAATAAAAATTATACATTCATAAATTTGAAAGATACATTTGAAATTAACCAACATGCAAACATTGTTGAATGAGAATAAAGTACTTCTTAAAAGACATAAATTTCATGGTAGCAACAGAGGCAGCTGTCTGTGCTTTCTTAATTTTCAGCTGACTTCCCTTGACAACACTTTTAATTAAGTGACTTCTATCAAATATAGTATTATGAAAATACTAAAATGGAAATTATGATTTTATAATAAATCTACAAACATTTCATCACATAAAGGAGCTAGAGACAATTGGCAAGATGCTTTCAAAGAGTTTTATTTTTGTCTGCAACACTTGGCAGACATGAAATCTTTGAGGATGCTGATTTAATAACATTCACTGAAATTTTGGAAGGTATAGTCAGTCATATTGTAAAAGAATCTTCTTTATTAGAAGTTTCTTAAATAATAAATTATATGTATTTAAACTCTACCCTTTCACCTTTCACATCTAGTTCTAATTATTCATCCTTAATAATGGAATACTTTTATTATACTGTCAACTTTTTAGCAAATGGTTTCTAAAGTGGTAAGTCAATGTAAACAGATGGCAAGATTTTTTAAGCAATAATAATAATGCCTGTAAGTAGATGCTACAAGCAACACAGTAAGAAAACAAACAAACAAACACTGGCTTTGGAGTCAGAAATCCCTATCTTGTGCTTTTCCATTTAGAAGGTTTGTAATTTGTGTCAAATTACAATCTATGAGCCTCAGATTCCTCATGAGTAAGACAACCATAAGAATACTAGTCATATTGTTCAGAATTTAATATTAACTGAAAAACAGCATTTTATAAACTAAACAGCAGTCTGTTAATATTTTCATTATCTCCTATTTTGAGAATCATAACAAATAAAATCTAACATGGTGCACAGATGTATGGTTGGTAAGAAAGAGAGAGATATATGTAGATAACTTAAAAATTATTGCATCTTCAGAGCTCAACATAGTTTCCTGAACATTCAGAGTCAAAAAATGGTTTAGCAGCTTCTTCAAGCTGCTAAAAACACCTTTAAACAAAAAGCAAATACTCATGGCTCTGAAGAAGAACAAGGATATGCCATATTTTATCTTCATTGTGCCTGCCTTGGTCATCCTAAAGTCACGATGAAAGAGTAATGTTGACTATCCTGGTCTTGGAATCTTATTGTCAAAGGTTGCTTTTCTTATATTCAAAGTATTGACTTGTATCTTTGTACCTTATATTTTGATGTTTATTCACTGTGTTTCAAATCAAAGTTTCGCAATAAAAAAATCTCAGTTGAGGGCTTTATTCAGTTAGAATCCAGATGATTCTCTGCAGGTAAGTGTCATATACAGATGGTCTTCAACTTATGCTGGTTCAAGTTAGTAATTTTTCCACTGTGCGATGATATAAAACCATCACAATTTCAATGTACTGTGAATTTTGAATTTTTATCTTTTTCCAGGCAGTGACATGCAGTCATGAGATATTCAACACCTTATTATAAAATAGGCTTTGTGTTAGGTGATTTTGCCCAACTACAGTCTAATGTAAGTACTCTGAGCACACTGAAGACAGGCTAGACTAAGCTATAATGTTTGGTAGGTTGGGAGTATTTAACGCATTTTTGACTTATGATATTCTCAACTTATGATGGGCTAATTGGGACATAAACTCACCATAAATCCAAGAGTACCTGTATTAAAGAGTACAAAAGGATTGGGATTCAAGAGGCCTCAATTTATGCCTTTGTTCTGCTGATGAATAATTCTTGGGCTTTTGGGGTAAAACCACTCCTCTAGATTTTACTATATTTGTCTCCGAATAATAAAAGGACAACTCAAGTTTAAAATGCCCTGAATTTAATCACAATTTTTACTATACATATTTGTAACTATAGTACAGACTAATTTTCACGTAACTTCTGTACTACCTTGCTATTTATGGCACAAACTCAATTACATATGTGCCGAGGATCTGACATGGAGTCTATGGCTTCACCTTTACAGCAGTGTGGGAATAATTTTCTAATTCATGTTAGCTTGATATGGAGCTTAAGGCCAAATGGCAATCAAAGTCTCCGTCAAGCCTCCAAAGGATGCAATCTCTCCATTCTGACTTCAATATTTAGCTAGAAGAGAGACTGGGATGTGTTCATTACAGGATCCTAAATCTGATGCTCATCATGATAAAGTCACTAATGCTTTACTATGTTGCACATTCATGTGTCAAATTATGTAAGGATATAGTTAAGGACCACATTATATTGATCCTTAACTCTCTTGTTAATAGACCACATTATATTGGCCCCCCACTCTCTTGTTAATAGAATTGTCTCAATAACTAAGATCAAGTAGACTCTAGACTCCTCATTTTTGTTTATCCCCTTAGCATATGTTTCTCTGATATTTTTTTCTAATGGAAAGCAACATCAGCAATCTTACTGTTTTATTAACATTTCCAATAGTAACATGGTCAACTGGCCAGATCTCATGGCTCTCTCACAGTATATCTTGCATCAAATGTTTTCCAAAATTTATTAACTTATTTAGAAAATATATTTATCAGGTTACAATTATAGTTTAAAAATGTACAATTTTTTTGCGTAAATCAAACTTAAAGTGGAGGAGTTAATTTTATCTCAAATACATGGGTTACTTTGCTGAAAAGTTCAGCATTTCTTTTTCTTTTATATGAAAATCCCTTCAAAATATTTAATGAAGTTTTTTTATTCATTTATTCATTCAACAAATATTTATTGAGTGTCTTCTATTTGGCCAGAACTATTCTAGGTATGAGAGACCACAAGTTAAAACAAATGAACTCACTGACCACATGGTGCTTATTCTCTAGTGAAGGACAGAAAAATAGTAAAACCTCAAATGATATGTGCTATGAAGAAAGTGATAGGGAGAACTTTTTCAAACAATTCAGTCTGGAAAGGGATCTCTGTGGTATTTCAGCTCAGCAGAGCCCTGAATGAAATGGAATAGCATTTTATAATTTACCTATGCATTTTCATGAGCACTTCTCAATTCATAGGAAAATTGAGGAATTCATTCAATAAATATTTATTATCTTTTCATTACACATAATATTTTAATAAATTTTGGGATCCTTTTTAATGATCAGAATTTCATATCTTGAATTTTTCTTGTCCAGCAATAGTAAGCAATACTTTTCTTTATATAGCAAGTTTTACAAACATTGGATTCTATTTTCCTTATGATCAGGATTATGTCTTGAATTATTTTTCTCCCATACTAGCAGATGATACTCAAGGGAGGAGGGGGCTCACTTGGCTTTAGCTTTAGTTCAAGGGTACATGTTCTACCTCCCGCTACATTAAAGTACAATTGTGCAGTTTATTTAATGCAGGTAGACTTTTGTTATCATCTTATGGTAGTGTTTGTCATTAGCCTGTTTTTAATTGATTATCTTCTTATTGACTGGTGGTATTTTATTCTGATAGAACCCAATTCTTTTTAGCTGCTTCTTTCTCTATCCCGAGTCTCTAAGGGAGATCTCCATTTTCCAGTGTGTGTATGTTTTCCCTGGAATAGAATCTTTCAAGTATGCCACATCTCATTCTGTGTATTTTCCAAAACTTCACCGTTCCCATAAATCAACAATCTCATTCACTGTACCTCAGACCTGTTCTCATTGTTCCCCACACAGGGTGGATCTTCTCCTTCTGTCGAACTTAAACAATGTTATGTCTATCCAATACCAGTCAGGTCTAACAAACTTCTGTACTCTTTGAAACATATCCTTCTAAAATTTGTTCTTATTACATATTATTTATTATCATCATCATCCTATCCATCACCTTTTGGTATCAAACTGCATTACTGCCATCCTACCCAAGAATCTGTTGTTGGTTGAGATAAAACATGCTTGACCCTCACTGACTATAATAGCCCATTTTCACACTGCCATAAAGAAATGCCTGAGACTGGGTAATTTACAAAGGAAAGAGGTTTAATTGACGCAGAGTTCTGCATGGCTGAGGAGATCTCAAGAAACTTACAATCATGGCAGAAGATGAGGAGAAGCAAGTCCCTTTGGTTCAAAAGGCAGCAGGAAAGACCAAGAGAGCAGGGGACACCACAACTTATAAAACCATCAGATCCTATGAGAACTCTCTCACTATCACAAGAGCAGCATGGGAGGAACCGTACCCATGATCCAATCACCTACCACCAGGTCCCTCCCTTGACACATGGGGATTATATTTGAGATGAGATTTGGGTAGGAACACAGGGACAAACCATATCATTCCACCCCTAGCCCCTCCCAAATCTCATGCCCTTTTCATATTTTAATCATGCCTTCCCAACAGTCCCTGAAAGTCTTAACTCATTCCAGCAGTAACCCAAAAGTCTGAAATCCAAAGTCTCATCTGAGACAGAGCAAGTCCCTTCCGCCTATGAGCATGTAAAATCAAAAACCAGTTAGTTACTTCCAAGATACAATGGGGGTACAGGCATTTGGTAAATGTCCCCATTTCAAATGGGAGAAATTGGCCAAAGTAAAGGGGCTACAGGCCCCCATCCTAGTCCAAAATCCAGTGGGGGCAGTCATTAAATCTTAAAGCTCCTTTGATTCCATGTCTCACATCCAGGACACACTAATGCAAATGGTGTATTCACATGGCCTTGGGCAGATCCACCACTGTGGCTTTGCAGTGTTCCACCCCCGCGTCTGTTCTCATGGGTTGGTGTTGAGTGCCTGTAGCTTTTCCAGGTGCACATTACAAGCTGTTCATGGTGATAGAGCAAGAGCACTGTCATCCTGGTCAAATACCACTGTTTTAAGTTCCAGCTCCCTTTCTAACCTCGTGCATTTCAAGGAAATCACTTCTCTTTTAACAACAAGCAGCCAGAATGAGCAGACAGTAAAACACAGATAAGGCAGCTCAGGCACAGAAGGAAGGGGGAAGGTGTGTTGGTAATCGCCAAACTTCACACTAATACAATGGGCCCCAGTAAAATAGTGGACCTAATAAGCACATCCCTTTCCCTTTAGGTGCACTAAGATAGGAAAGGTAAAAGCAACTCAGACGGGTATGCCTGCAGCTTCAGGAAGATATATGGAAATAGACACAAAAAGTCTCTCTCCCAGAGAAGCAAGACAAAGAGACACAGAAACATTCCGAGCCTGTGATAAGCTTTCCCACCCTGAATCCTTAAATACTCTTAGTCTGTAAGAGAGAGTGCTCCTGACTGAAATCGGTCAGAAGTCCCTCTCAGGTTTATATTAAAAAATAAAAGTGTCTTTGACTGTTGAGCTGCTTTTCATGTTTCTTTCTTCTTTCTTTAATTCTTACACATGGATCTGCCATTCTGGGGTCTGGAGGACAGTGGCCCTCTTCTCACAGCTCTACTGGGAAGTGCCCCAGTGGGGACTCTGTGTGTGGGCTCCAAATCCACATTTCCCTTCCACATTTCCCTAGCAGAGGTTTTCCATGAGGGTTCTGCCCCTGCAGCAAACTTCTACCTAGACATCCAGGTATTTTCATACATGCTCTAAAATCTAGGCAAATGTTGCCAAACCTCAATTCTTGTCTTCTGCACACTGGCAGCCTCAACTTCACATGGAAGCCACCAAGGCTTGGCGCTTGCACCCTCTGAAGCAACAGCCTGAGTTGTACCTTGGCCCTTATCATCCATGGCTGGAGCTGGAGCAGCTGGGCTACAGGACACCAAGTCCCAGTGGTGCACAGAGCAGTGAGATCCTGGGCCCATCTTACAAAACCATTTTTCCCTCCTAGACCTCCTAGACCCGCAGCTGGGCCGCAGGACACCAAGTCCCAGTGGTGCACAGAGCAGTGGGGTCCTGGGCCCATCTTACAAAACCATTTTTCCCTCCTAGACCTCCAGGCCTGTGATGAAAGGAGCTTCCATGGAGGTCTGACAGGCTCTGAAGACATTTTCCTCATTGTCTTCGCTATTAACATTCAGCTCCTCATTACTTATGCAAATTTCTGCAGCTAGCTTGAATTTCTCCCCATAAAATGGGTTTTTCTTTTCTACCACATGGTCAGGCTGCAAATTTTCTAAACTTTTATGCTCTGTCACCTCTTGAATGCTTTGCCGCTTAGAAATTTCTTCCACCAGATACCCAAAATCATCTCTTTCAAGTTCAAAGTTCTACAGATCTCTAGGGCAGGGACAAAACTCCACCAGTATCTTTGCTAAAGCATAGCAAGAGTGACCTCTGCCCCAGTTCTCAATAGGTTCCTCATCTCTGAGGAAACTGTTCATCTAAGATCACCTCAGCCTGGACTTCATTGTCCACATCACTATCACCATTTTGGTCAAAACTGTTCAACAAGTCTCTAGAAAGTTCCAAATTTTTCCATATCTTCCTGTCTTCTTCTGAGCCCTCCCAACTGTTCCAACCTCTGCCTGTCACCCAGTTCCAAAGTTGCTTCCACATTTTCATGTTATCTTTATAGCAGTACCCCACTTCTGGTACAAATTTCTTATATTAGTCTGTTTTCACACTCCTATAAAGACATACCCAAGACTGTGTAATTCATAAAGGAAAGAGATTTAATTGACTCACAGTTCTGCATGGCTGAGGAGGCCTCAGGAAACTTACAATTATGGCAGAAGGCAAAGGAGAAGCAAGTACCTTCTTCAAAAGGTGACAGGAAAGAGAGAGAGAGCAGGGTAACCACACTTATAAAACCATCAGATCTCATAAGAACTCACTATCATAAGAACAGCATGGGGGAATTTCCCTCATGATCCAATCACCTCCCACTAGGTGCCTCCCTTGACACACGGGGATTACACTTTGAGATGAAATTTGGGTGGGGACATAGAGCCAAACCATATCACTGACCCTTATGAGTTAGCTAATGTGAGCCAAATATTAATGATAATTGAATCTTGTTATAGGCCTACCAGCAAAACTAACCTGTGAAAAAATTCCATAGGTACACAGCTATCTAGACATTTTAGAAAGTGTACATATGTTTGCAAACCTACCAAAATGCATTACTTCTATACTTGCAGTAATCTCTGCTTTTTAAATGCAACTACTCTTATCTACTTGGGTCTTAGCAATCTCAAACAGGACCACCTATAGTCTAAAACCCAGAAAACTAAAACACTTTGGAACTTGGTTAACAGACAGATAAGAAACTGGATATTCCTACTTCATAACCATGGATTCAGAAACACTTTTGAAATATAATAGATGAGTAACTACAGAGAAAGACTCAGCACTTCTTGGAAAGAAACAAATTCCCAAGAGAATCTGTGATTGACAGAGACTTATTATAACATAATTCATCAATGAGAATATTTTGATTTACTATTAAAATTATGCCCTTCACTTTCTTAATTATGTTCAAAGATCTTTGGAAAGTGCAGGTGCCTGAGTCTAACCGTCATGTTAATTACATGAGATTCATCAAATCACTAAGTTTAGAACATAAACAGAATGTGTTACTATTTAAGGATAAAACAGGATTAATATATAAGAGTATTTATTGAAGTGAGAAGAAAAATAGGTTGAAAACAAGGCAAAAAATGAAAGACTAAAATGACCAGAACTTGGACCATCTCTGGTCTTGGGCTCAAATTTACTTCTTTCATAATGAATAAACATGGTGGAATTCCTTTGTCCTGTTTCAGAGCACCTTACCACACACTATAGGATAAGATAAAAGGCAGGGCAAGTCATTTGAGTATTGCCTGGGGCAATGTGGGGGAGGGGAAGCAGGGAACTGCTAATAAGAATTTGCCTTCTGGAGATATTTGGCAATTTCTGGTGTCATCTTTGGCTGTCACTACTGGGGGATGCTACTGGCATCTAATGGTTAGAGGCCAGGAATGCTGCTAAACAAACTGCAATGCACGAAACAGACTCCTGTAACAAAGAATTTTCTGGCCCAAATATCAATAGTGCTCAAGTTGAGAAACTCTGACCTAGAACAGCTATTCTCAATCTTGAGCAATGAGCACCACCTAGAAAACATTAAATCACAGATTGCTGAGTTCCATCCCCAGTATTTCTGACTCAGTATGTCTTGGGTGGAGCCTAGAATTTGCACTTCTAAGAAGCTTCCTGATGATGTTAATGCTACTTGTCTGAGAACCACATTTTGTGAATCATAATCTTGACCTAAATTACTTTGATATAAACATTCAGAAAATTCAACACTTCTCCTTACCTACAGTATATCCTATCTATAATCATAAATGTAATGTCTGTCTTCTCTTCCAGATTCTTAATTCCATTAGAGTAAAATCTGTCCAATTCAGCACTGCATATTCACGTTAACAGGCACTCAAATATCGAATGAATAAAAAACTTCCAAATCTAAATGTTTGGAATTCTGCTACAGTGTTTCACAGTCCATGAGTTGTTTATCTCTGAAGCATTTCCCTTACCAAGTGACAAAATACTTGCTAATTATAGGCTTTTCACATTCAGAGAAAAAAGTCTGGAGAGGGTATTTGCTACTTTTGAATATCTTCTGCCTTGAAAGTTGAAAGCATCAGTCAACAAAACTGTGCTCAAATCGTGGTAAGCTTTTAAGAATTCATGCTAAAATATTTGTACACATGATTGATATTAATGAAAATTATGTGGCTGTCTCATAACTTAGCCTTTCCAAATCAAAGCAAGGACTTTTATTAGAACATAATGGTAAATTTTTTAAAAGCCTTTTTATTAGCATCAATGTAAAATAAAAAAGAGAAACTTTAAAAAGTACAAATGTGCAAAATGTTTTGCAATATAGACCAATAGCCTCAATCATTGTTACAGACCTTCCTTTTTATCCAGACCATGCTATCCCTAGGTTTCTAAGCCAGTATTCTAAGATCAAACTAAAGCCACATGAGATACAGAACTGTTCGAGACAACTCATCTTAGATAGATGACGGACAAAATATTAATTATTCCGGCAAGTGTTAAGGCCCCTTACATTTCTCAATAATGTAATCCTCTTGGGAGAAAAAAAATGTCTGTGAGAGTTTTTAATATCGTTGTAAGGGAGAGTAACTGTACATAGATCTGAAAAGGACAAATTATATTTAGTAAATTTGTCTTTAGATTTGTGTTCAGTTTAAAACAAGTTTCCTCTCATTCATCATCAAAGCCATTAAATAAATGGCATCTTGTTCGACTGTCTTTCCTTTGTAATATGCTCACAGGCAAACAACCAGAAAAATCTTCAGAAAGCACTATTTTGATCTTCTTCCTCTCTTACAAATCCTAAGCAACATTCCACTGGACACTGAATACTGTTAATAAAATCTTCTTGATCCCCCAAATCAGGAATTACGCTAACTCAGAAACAATCCTAAAATAACACCTAGAGATTTCTAATGAAACGACACACGCACACACACACACACACACACACAAACACACACACACAGATAATATATTGCAAGAGCCGTGGTGACAAGGGGTAGGAGCAGAGGAGCACTGGACCTGGATATCTGATCAAGGAATTAGATTCTGATCCTCTTACAGAGCCAGTGAGCTTTGGGCCTACCAAAACTAATTGGTTAAAACTGAGGCTTGTGCATTAAATCTAGGACCTTAACAGAGTACAAGCACAGTGAAGACAAAAAAACTTAACCAATGCAACAAATTTAAAAAAAAAACTTGTCAGCTGGATGCAGTGGCTCATGTCTGTAATCCCAGAACTTTGGGAGGCCGAGGCGGGCAGATCATGAAGTCAAGAGATCGACACCATCCTGGTTAACATGGTGAAATCCCGTCTCTACTAAAAATACAAAAATTAGCTGGGCATGGTGGTGCGCCCGTAGGCCCAGCTACTCAGGAGGCTGAGGCAGGAGAATCACTTGAACCCAGGAAGTGGAGGTTGAAGTGAGCTGAGATCGTGCCACTGCACTCCAGCCTGGGGAAACAGCGAGACTCTGTCAAAAAAAAAAAAAAAAAAAGAAAGAAAGAAAAAAGAAACTTGTCTTGACATAGGTCTGACAAAAAAATTTAAAAGTTTAAATTCATCATGGGAAAGATGAATCAAATAACTAGGTCTGTCCCTCCACATGTATGCAGTCTAAATTTATTCCAACCATGTGATTTGAGAAACTCAGAGCCCCAAATAATTACATTTCAAGTGCTCAATAGTCTAACATAGACTAGTGGCTACCGTATTAAACATTGTTGAGACAGGTAAGTAATATTCAAACATAACCATAGGGCATCTCAGATAAACACAATAATCATTTACCCTAAATATGAATAGGCAGAAGTAGGAAAGATTCCCAGAAGAGAGAATAGTTCATCTGACTTCAAATGACAAACAGATGATTCTAGGTCACATAAAAAGTCCTTTCCAACTTCATCCCCCACAACTTCACATAACAAAATTCACCTATTACAAGATCTCATATCAAATAGCTAAATCTAGGTCAGAGACATCACAGCTTGCTGAAGAACTCCAGCTGCAAGTCTAGGTTAATCCCAACTCGGGATTCAGTACAGCACTATATTCAACTCACCTTTGGCTCTTTACATTATATTTATCTATTTCCCCCTTTTTTTCCTGTGACCAATTTTATAATTTACTTTTATTAGATTTGGTTTTATTATTTAACCTCAAAATCTTCTGACGTTAAGATTGAAATGCCTAACCTTGTTTTTACTCTAACTCGCTACTTTGAATTTTATCCTGCTTGTCTCTTTAATCACCTAGCCTTGCTTCTCATGTAAATAAGACTCTCTCTAGCTGGGAAAGCCGGAAAAACTCCAATTGACCCCATAATTTACAAGACACTAAGGGCTCCTTACCCAACCCGCTTCTGCCAGGAGTTGACCTGTGTAAGCAGATCCTCAGCATTTCAAAGGAGCCCAATGAACTGATAAGGTACTAGCACCAACAATGTATGAAGTTCCCAGGATTTTTCTTAAAGAGAGAAAACATAAAGCCTTGAGTTCCTGTCCGGCATACTCCCTGTATCTAATTATAATGAAAGATTTAGAGCCTTGCACCTGGTACCGTTGCTCTTTTTGTAACCATTTGTCTTTTAAATTGTTTATCTCTCTGTAACCATTTTGCTTCTTTTGATTCTTGCATGTTTTTACTTCTGTAGAATTATTGCATTTGAGTCCCCCTCCCCTTCCTAAACCTAGGTATAAAAGTTAATCAAGCCCCTTCCTCGGGGCCGAGAGAATTTTGAGCGTTAGCCGTCTCTTTGGCCGCCGGCTTAATAAAGGACTCTTGATTCATCTCATAGTGTGGCGTTCTCACTAACTCGCTTGGGTACAACAAGATAAGAAATTGCATAGTAAAATAATAAGATATGCATAACACTAAACCAGCAGGAAGAAAAACACAGACAAAAAAGGAATATCTAGAAAAAAGGGAGGAAGATAATACAGTAGATAAATGCAGCTCTGCATGGCTCATACAGCGGAATATGCCATTGAACTTTCTGAAAACCAATGTAAGAACAAAATAATGCCAGTATAATAATCTTTACTTAATGAAAAACAAATGTATTTTTTCCTTAGCAAAGAAAAACTTCTCTTGTTATTCAACTTCACTTTTCATATAATATATGGAAATATTTACATATGCACTCACACACACACACACGCACACACACATATTATCTTTCTCTATTACAAATTCCTCCAAGGCAGGTAGTTTTTCTCATAGGCATCATACTAAGAAAAAAAAATGCTGTTCAAAAGAGCTAGTTAATTTACAAAATGAAAATTAAGAAATAGTAGCACCTAAAATATATATTTTTGCAAGTTTGCAATTACAACTGTAAAATTCAAAACCAACCACTCTTCAATTCTACAATGGTAATCCAATGTAATCTAGACTTTAGAAAGGCGGCCTAAAATTTTTAATATGGTCTAAAATGTTTATCCAGTTTTTAATTAGTTCTGCTTTTTGAATGTTTGATCTACACATTATATATGTTTAAATTTAATATATCCTACTTTTTAATAAAAGCTCTATTTTGCCGTCTAACTCAGAACAGCTATCTGAATAAATACATGTGTGGTAATTTCGATTTTCTTTAAGGATAAGAGATAAGAATTTTATTTGTTTCTAACCACTGCCACATAGGAGATCACAATTTGGGGAAGCTGCATTATAATTCTTCAGCTCCAAATAACCTACTATCCATCTTCTCGTAGAAATAAAACAGCATGTATTCCAATTTAGCAAAAATTTCTGAAATTCTATTTTGTAAGTTGTTTTCTGTGGTTACGTTTGTCAAGATTAAAATATTCTATTTTTGTTGTGATAAAATATATGTAACATAAAATGATCATTTTAACCATTTTTAAGTGTACAGTTCAGTGGTGTTAAGGGTTTTCACACTGCAGTGCAAACATCATCACTGTTATGTCCTGACACGTTTCATCATTCCAGACTGAAATTTCGTACTCATTAAATAATAACTTCACATTATTCCGTCTCCCCAGACCATCTTAGCCACTATTCCACACTGTGCTCCCATGACCATCTTAGCCACTATTCCACACTGTGCTCCCATGACCATCTTAGCCACTATTCCACACTGTGCTCCCATGACCATCTTAGCCACTATTCCACACTGTGCTCCCATGACCATCTTAGCCACTATTCCACACTGTGCTTCCATGACCATCTTAGCCACTATTCCACACTGTGCTTCCATGACCATCTTAGCCGCTATTCCACACTGTGCTTCCATGACCATCTTAGCCACTATTCCACACTGTGCTTCCATGACCATCTTAGCCACTATTCCACACTGTGCTTCCATGACCATCTTAGCCACTATTCCACACTGTGCTTCCATGACCATCTTAGCCACTATTCCACACTGTGCTTCCATGACCATCTTAGCCACTATTCCACACTGTGCTTCCATGACCATCATAGCCACTATTCCACACTGTGCTTCCATGACCATCTTAGCCACTATTCCACACTGTGCTTCCATGACCATCTTAGCCACTATTCCACATTGTGCTTCCATGACCATCTTAGCCACTATTCCACATTGTGCTTCCATGACCATCTTAGCCACTATTCTACATTGTGCTTCCATGAATTGACTGTGTTAGGTACATAGTGTTAGTGGAATCATACTGTTTGTCCATTTGTGTCTGCTTTATTTCACTTAGCATAATGATTTTAGGATTCATCTATGGGATAGCATGTGTCAGAATTTCCTTCCTCTTTAAGGCTAAATAATATTTTATTGCATGTATATACCACATTTTGTTTTTCTATTCATCCATCAATAAACATCTGAGTTGTTTCTACTTTTCGGGGAGTGGGGGGCTACTGAGAGTAATGTTGGTATAATAATTGGCACGCAAGTATATGTACAAGTCTTTGTTTTCCATTCTTTTGAGTATATACCTAGCATACATAGCAGTGGCATTTCTTTATCATGTAGTTATTCTATGCAAACTTTTTTGAGGAAGCACCATTTCTTCCGCAGCAGCAATGCACAAAGATTCCAATTAATTTCTCCACATCCTTGTTAACACTTGTTATTTTTGTTGTTGTTGCAATATTTTTTTCATGACAGCCATTCTAATGAATGTGAAGTGGTGTCTCATTGTGGTTTTGATTTGCATTTTCCTAATGGTTAGTGATGTTTAACATCTTTTCACGTGCTTACTCTCACCATTTTTTAATCATGGTTTTTGTTTAATTTGAGATTTCATCCACGTTAACAGGCCCATCTCTCATTTTTTTCAGCTTGAATCCCTAGTCATATGAAGAAACTTATGATTATTTTCAATATACAAAGCAGATACAACTTTTTCTCCTGAAGTACTTGAATGTGAGCTGTTTGGCAATATGTGGCACATAAAATGAATTTAATAAAATGAGACATATGTTACAAAAGAAATTATATTGTTTGAATAAAAATTTAGACACAACAAAACGTTGTATCATTTTTGCTCATTTTTGGTGACAGCTCTTACAATACCACCAAGGTAGTCATTTATCACTTTCAAAATTCACACCTATTTTCTACTAGATGAACATAAATGTTTAGTCATATTCTTAATATAATCACACACTGTACTGTAAACTGTTGTTTAGTCCATGATTAAGGTAAAGGGACATTGGATTATGAATATTTCAGTTGCCACCTGTTTTCCTATCCAGCATCGTTTTTCAATTTTCAAAGCACCACATATACGTTTATCTGTGAAACTGTCATAAATAACTTAGATAATACTAAAGTTGAGCTTATCAACCTGAAGATCATTGAGTAACACACTTAACTTAAACCACTTCTAGCAAGTTCCTCTTTTAATCATTTTCACTCCACTTCATCCTCATAGACTCCTTTTCGGAATCTGTGTAGTGATTTGAATGGCATGAGATGAGATGGAGCACTGGGTCAATTTCAATCCTCTCTATAAAGTTAGAAATAGGCAAATATATTTCTTCTCTAATGCTGAAAACTTACGTAAGAGGTTACAATCAAAGGGTGATTTGTATGTATAAAAAAGGTTGCCCCTTGAGCTATCCACTAGAAGAGAGTTAATTCAGTAGAAATCTCCTTGCTGGTATTAGGGAATGTCTTCACCCTATTATCCATTATTTTGAATTAATTCAAACATCTTTTCCATGAAATCATGTAAGAGGCCAGATTAGAGGATTTTGGAAGTCTCTTACGACTCTAAAATGCTGCATTCCTTTGGTGTGTAATTATCAATAAATGACACTGATTTAACGTCACATAGTCAGGTGATTACTTACCGATATGAGACTATATGCTTCTTTTTGAGAAATATTGTATCTTATACTTTGTGAAATTGCAGTATCTTACATACTGTTAGACCACAATTTTGAATTTACTATTGGTAGGCTAGAATATTAATTATTATTGGGGTAGAATAAATTATTAATTAAAGATGGTTCAGTTTAAAATGCCTCATATATATATCCCAATTTCTACCTCAAAATACAGTTGTACACATAAACTGAATGATCTTAAAGAACCAGAAAAAGAAAATTTCAAATTAGACCAATAGCTTTCCATATTTTTTAAACTCCCAAGTGTTTGTTCCTGTCCTATTTTTCATTATTGTTGTTTTTCAATACCCACCCTATTCTCTGTAACATCCAGCATCATACCTTGCCAAGATTCTAAATGGGCCTCAATAAATAATGTTTAAAAGTGGTTGATTGATTATGTCTAATATTTGAGTTCTAATGAGTGTGCTTAAGAATCCAATGAACAAAAATCAGGTACTTTCTAAGTGAGACCTATACCCTAACACTTACCTCAATATTTTAATCTTTAAATTATGTCATTTAAGTATTTCAGTATAACACTTCTCAGTTGTCTTTAATACCTGATAATTAAAAAAAAAATCTTTTTGCAATGTGCTTGTCTCTAGATTTAAAAGAGTTAATGATATCCCAAATCCTAAACTCTTACAATTAAATTTGTAGAGACAAATTAAACCAAATTTTATCTATTGCACTTAGTTTATATGAGATGACAAACACAGAGGTAAGAACATGGTATATGTTCAACATGTCACTATTTGTAGAATGATCACTTCTTAATCAAGATCACAAAGATTTTTGTAACTATTCCATACCCAATACATTATTTTGCATTGCAATAGACTTTTATTGATATCTCTGAAAAACATTTTTCACCCTTTTGACCTAACATTTCCACTATTAACAGAGTTGTTTTGTAAAACAAAGAATGATATTACCACTCCCAATAACATCTGTCCAAATGCTTTTACTCACAGAAAAATTAAAAGTTTGTCCACTAGACAGGTGCCAAGAACATGCATTGGAAAAAGGACAGGCTCCTTAATAAATGGTGCTGGGAAAATGAGATATACATATGCAGAAGAATGAAACTTGACCCCTATCTCTCACCATATACAAAATCAACTTAACGTGGATTGTAGACTTAAATGTAAGACATGAACATATGAAACTACTAGAAGAAAACACTGGGGAAATTCTTCAGGACATTAATCTGGGCAAAGATTTTTTGTGTAAGATAGGCAACAAAAGCAAAGCAACATAGACAAATGGGATTAAATCAAGCCAAAAAGCTTCTGCAGAGCAAAGGAAACAAATCAACAAAGTAAAGAGCCAGCCAACAGAATTTGATAATATTTGCAAATTATCCAAACAATAAGGCATTAATAATCAGAATATATAAGGAACTCAAACAACTCAATAGCAAAAAAAATCAATAATAATCCAATTAAAAATTGGCAAAGGACCCGAACAGACATTTCTCAAAAGAAGACATAAAGATGGTCAACAGGCATATGAAAAAATGTTGAACATCACTAATCATCAGGGAAATTAGAATCAAACCACAATGAGACACCATCTCATCACAGTTAAAAGAGCTGTTATCAAATAGACAAAAATTATGAATGGTAACGAGGATGTGGAGAAAGGGTAACTCTCGCACACTGTTGCACACTGTTGGTGGGAATGTAAATTAGTACAGCCACTATGAAAAACAAGCAATATAGTGTTCCTTCCCCAGAAAACTAAAAATAAAACTACCATATTATTCAATCTCGCTGCTGGGTACACAGCCTAAGAAAGGAAATCAGCATGTTGAAGAGATATCTGCACTCTTAGGTTTATTACAGCACTATACACAATAGCCAATATATGGAATAACAGATGAATGAATACAGAAATGTGATACATATATATATATATATATATATGTGTGCATGTGTATAGAAATATTAGTCAGCCATAAAAAGAATAAAATCTTGTCATTTGCAGAAACATGGATGGAACTAGAAGCCATTATGTTAAGTGAAATTAACTAATCTCATAAGGACAAATATTGCATTTTATCACTCATGTGGAAGCTAAAAAAGTGGATTTCATGGAGATAGAGGGTAGAATGGTGGTTATCAGAGGCTGGGAAGGGTATTGGGGAGGGAGGGATGAAGAGAAGTTGGTTAATGGTTACAAAAATGCGGACAGAAGGAATAAGTTCTAGTGATTGACAGTATAGTAGGTGGATGATAATTAACATTTTAAAAATATATTTCAAAGAAGCAAGAAGAGAAGAACTGAAACGTTCCCAACACCAAGAAAAGATACAAGCTTGAGGTGATAAATATCCCAATTACTCTAATTGGAGCATTAAATCTTATATACATGCATCAAACTATCACACGTACCTCCAAAATATGTACCACATTATGGATCAGCAAAAAAATGAAAATTATTTTTTTTAAAAAAGAAGAGTTTGTCAGTGCTTCCATTTGCTCCAATCTATGCTGTGCATGCATTTATTATTACATCTGTTACCCTATTTTGCCTGCACTGGCAGTTTCTCAAGGATATGGAAACAATTTGATTCATCCAAGTATTGCCAGGACCCAATTCAATGTGTGAAAAGCAAGTGTTCAGTCAACTACGTTTAATAAAAAAAGGACACAATTTACCTGGCCATGATATCAGCCAGTGTTTCAAATGGTTGGTAATGAAGATTGAACTAATTTATCAAATTCTCAATTATAAATTAACAACATGATCTAAAACTAAAATTATCCAGAAAATTTCGTACCACAGCATCTTTTTGCCCTATTTAATTTAGTTTTTGTTGATTTGCTTTGCTGTCTAATGTGTAAATTATACTACCACCATTACTCATATATGTATAGTAATTGATATTTTTCAGAAGCCCTTAATATTACTACCTGAGCCTATCTCTGGGTCAAATTGAGCAGAAAACTATTACCAAAGTATAAATAAAGCAATCCACAGTGTACAGAAGTTATTTATTTAAAGATAAATAGATAATGACTGTTAGAGAAGACCAGAATTCAAGTCTCCAGAAGTGTAGGAAATCTCATAAAACAAAAATTTGAATTTGGATTTGAGCATGGTAATCGTGATATCTGATTGACACATGAAGAATGAATCTTATTGAATAAATTTCAATAAAAAGCTCATTTAGCTAACTTCATTACAGAAAACATCAGCCCTGTTGTCTCAAAAGTTTAAGGAAATAAATGGAGTTTTTAAAAAACTCCAGGAGAAAAATACTGAGTGTATTCAATTTGTGCACCCCTGAGGGTAGTTCTAGTGTAGAGAGCAGCCATATGTGAGCCTGATGTTCTATTTTTAAAGTGAAATCAAGAGAGTGTTAAACATTTAGTGAATGTGAATTCTAACTAGAAAAAAAAACTGTGTCACACAGAGAATGGTATCTTGCTTATGAGATTAATTACATCATGAGAACAGAATATTTTGTTTAGGTCTAGGTATGCCTTTGATTTTATATGTATATGCACACACACACATGTACATGTATTTATACATTTACACACACGGAAACACACATACACACAAATAGCTAAAGTAGCCCTGCCTGAATATAGAATTATTAAGATAATAGAAATTAATGAAATCAATGAAAAGCTCTTCAATGGTTTTTAATTGACTGTAAATATATAGAACACCCACCTAAATCACAATCCATAATATTGATTGTATCTATACATTGCTAAAGCAGTGGCATGAAAATGAAAAATGCCCTTCTTTCATAGCCCATGAAACATTTATAAAAATTGTTACATTACGAGAAAGGGAAAATAACACTAATAAAAAAAATACACAGACTGAATTCTCTAGCTATGACTGTTAACCCAATAATGATGTGGGCTCTCAAGCACGAGAGCAAATACGGTCTCCAATCCTTACTGTCTGACAGAAAATAGAGTCCCTTTTCTCAGGGCAGGGAGAGTTGGAGATTCTGCTCTGTTTGGTTTAGATGACAAGGCACTTGGATCACTATATCATGAAGGATGAGGTATGCCATCAATCTGGACCATAACTAGTTGCACGATTTCTCAATCTTGGCACTACTGACATTTTGGACCAAATAATTATTTGTTAAGGGACGGCTTTCCTGTGCATAGAAGACGTTCAGCAGCATTTGTAGTCTCTACCCACTCAATGCAGTAGCTCTCCCATATCTGTGACAATCAATAATATCTCATTGTTTCATGCCTGCTGAAAGGGAACATTGCCCCATTGATAACCACTGAGCTAAAAGACACACACACACACACACACACACACACACACACACACACAAAATTGCCTATGGCTTTTAAACAAGGATCTCTCAAAAGTAATTCAAAATATTTCAGGTTAACAAAATTGAACTTGAATTAACCAATCATTTTGTGTATCAATAACAATCTATAGTATAACAGAAGGAAATGGTCCCTTTACATGATCATTTCTAATTCCTTAATGTCACAGATGAGAAAACTAAAACCCACCTTATTAGGAATGGCTTTCCTAAAGTCCCTCATATAGCTAGACAGTAGCAAAACAAGCAGAACCAATGAGAGCAAAACCAACTCTTTCTATTCATGAATATCTCCCACATTTGAAATCTTTACTTTTAAGAAGTATTTCCTAAAATAAATTGCATCGTCTTTCTTTCAGATTTTCGCCAAGCTCATAATAGCTTAAATAAAGTACGAGTCAACATGTTGAGGTCTGTCATGAATAGCATTCCTGCTAACACTATTAAGTGTATTTATCCACAGACTTGATGTTTTCTAAGGAAGGTGACTAATAGATAACAATAAGTCCCAGGGTAGAAAAAAGGAAAACAAATGTTAACTATATAATTTGAAATCCCTTTTCTGGGTTAATTCTGTTTGGTTTGCTTTTCTATCTGGAGTATGGGTAATTTATAGAGCTTAACTTACGATGTTTAATGGCATCATTTTTATCACTATACAGTATACAGATTTCCCGTTTCCCTTGGAAAGCAGCTTATTTGCCTTATTATCAATAATTCTGATGTAATTCTAACAAAATTCCAAATCCCACTTTAAAGATATCTTGCAGAAATGAAGATTCAGAACACTAGTGTTCAAAATGTAGTTCACATGACTATTTAGGCAGATGCAAGTGCCTGCTTGTTCTACTTTTAAATTCAGATCTACAAGGAGTGAAGGGACAATATTGGGCCAAGAATGGAGGGATGATATCCAAAGGGTGTGCATTCGGGGCAAGCTGGGTCACAAACACAAGAAAAGTGATTCGGTTAGACCCCTGAAGTGTTAGAGACCAGCACTGAATATGATTAGCACAATGGAGAGTCCAAGAGGGCTAGCGGAGATGTGAGAAATTCTTTTAGATTCTCATTCCTAAAGCTCTAAAGAGTGGTGCTTTTTTGTCAATTCCCACTCAGAGATCATTGGCTTTAGGCAGAATGCTGTAGGTAGTGCTATCTCTACACCACTGCAGTATCAGAATTCATGCTTGCAGTCCATGTTTATTTTTTCCCTCATCTGCATCCTGACCTAGTAATATGCAAGAGTTTCTGTTGGGATTCCTGACTGCATGATATGGTTATCTTACCCCATGGGCACCAACATTTTATCCCTCGGTCCTTTCACTTCGTCGTCTACTCCTTGTTACTCAAACCGATGCTCAGGTAACAGTACTTGCTTGTTTCTCCATGACCTCCTTACAGTCATGGACTTGTCCTCCAGACTCTCAAAAAGCCTCTCATGACTGTTTTCAATCTTTAGATCTCTGGTCAGGACAAACTGCCTCATATTTATCACAGAATTCCTGGATCCCTTCGCTTTCGCGAGCTATATTAGTTCATGAAGAATCACAGGGCACTGTCATGAATAATAACCCTGGGTCTCTATGTTGATATCATCTGATTTTTATTCTCTTAAGAAGCTAGTATCATATCTGTTTAACCAACCTAATATAATGTGTCTGGCAGAGTACTGCATGCAGATTGGATCTTAATAAATGAGGAGGGAAATTTATGTCACCTTACTCCAATATGATTCATTTAAGATTTCAGAGTAACTGCCCTCTCCAAGAAAAAAAGAAGTGTTCCCATTTAAGTCCTACTTGTCAAATACTATGAATGTAGGAGTCGAGTGAGCAGTAAAACACAGAGCAATTTGCTCATCTACCATTTTATGGACGCGGGCAATGTGCTGTCTTTATTAAAGTCAAATATGAAAAGAACATCATTCTTGAAAAAGTACTGCCCAAGGCTTTTCGGGTAGAAAATTCAATACAAAGCAAAAACCTGAGATTATCAATTTAGCTGTTTCTTTATACGTGTTGTAAAAGGAGGAATATTTTCTAATTTTTCTCCTGAAATATATTAAATTGTTTGTTTGTATTACCTGATCTACTTTATTTCTGGTACATAGCTGAATTCCACAAATACTTGAATACTTTGACGGACAAAGACATTAAAAATCTATCGAGATGTAAAGGAGCCTCAATGTTACTATTATCCACTGTTTTAAATGTTAAATCTCATTTTTCTCTATGATACATTCACAGATAAACTTGTTTTTATGTTTCTGTGCTTCATAATGTTACATTATGAAGATTAATTTCATATTCATTAATTATTGAATAAGAATTAAGGAAAGTCCAACGGTGGATCTGGCAGCATTGTAGCAATCTTAGAATTGTCTAGTCCAGGAACATTTCCAATATTTGAGCACTGACCTTGTATTCATTCAGTTAAAGCTAAATATTAATAGCAAACATCAATTTGTGTGACAATTAATTTCATCAATCATCTGCTCATTAAAAAATCTTAAATCGGTTCCAAATCCACTCCATCTAACTTCAAACTACAGTTCCTAGTTTATTAATTCATTTAATTTATTTCCCAACTAGTGGTTTCAGGTATTTGCAAAAGAATACCACGCAGAACCTGTGTCCCTGCTCTTTTTCCAAGGCCTCCAAAACGAACTGCTTTCTTTTAGCGCTTGTCATAAAAAGTGTCTTTCCACTTCCAGTCACACTCCTCTAAACACGCTCCAGGTTGCTCATATACATTTTTAGATGATGAAAACAAGAAGTGAACATTCTACTATAGGCGTTACTTTTTCAACAGAGTGTGAAAACCCCAAGTGTCATTCAAGATTCTGTATGACTGCTAATAAGTATTTGTCCCATATCTACCTTACCTTGTCAACATTTCCAACTTAATTGTTGCCTCTTCTGAGAAGTTTATGTTTCCCTGTGTTTTACTGACAAAGTGAACCAAACGAAGGTTCTAGACAAGATTACATGCTGGGGAAGGGACATATAAGCCATTCACTTAGTTAATGTTTATTTTAATTGTAAAATATGCATGAGATTTTTAAAGTCCTGAGGACACTGTGGGTATTGTGTCTAGAATACATCAATTAGCTTTTATTATTAAGCACATAAAATAAATCTGTCTTCTTTTGAGCTCTTCTTACATGCCAGACATAATGGAATCTCATTTTTGGACATAATGTTATATATTTTTAAACCTCATTACCACTCTGTTTTAAGATCACATATTGCCTTGTCATTTATTTTTTCCAAACATTTTATTTATGCTAGCTTGTTGAATTTTACATAGCCTTGTGAGCCTCCTTTCTCACACAAGGAGTATATTAATAAATAAAATGCAGTTTAAACATTACAGTAGCCTCCAAATAAGAAAAGCAGATGCACGTATACAATTTTTAATTTTTTTTAATATATTTTAAAACTAGTAAGAAAAGCTTAGGAAAAAAAAATTCCTTAAATGTATAAAGCAAAAAACTACAAAATGCCCTCCTTTATTTATTAAAATTTTATTCACTAAAATAATTACGGTTAAAGTTTATCATTTCTATTTCTTTTTTCGGTGTTTCTTTTTTTCTCCCTTCTGTACATTTCTTCACTCCTTTTTGCTTTTCCCTTTACTTTTCTTATGTCGCTACCTGATATAATCTGAATATTTGTTGCTGCCCAAATCTCATCTAGAAATGTAATCACTGTAAAAAGTAAAGTAGAGGTTCCTCTTCAAAGAGACTTTCCTCTCCATCTAAATATAAGGTCCGATTCAGCCAATAAAAACTGGACACAGAAGTAGAGTGGATGGATCAGGTTATAAATAACCCAGTCTCCTTTGTTCAATATACTCTCATGGCAAAACTGCTGGCGAGTGTATCCTTTCTGCAGAAAGTCTAAAAATGGCCTTGCTGAGGAAGTTAAATTTATGTTCAAGTGCTATTTCTTTACGGCACTGGGAAACGAGCATTTCTAACATCACCAACGTTGGAGGCGGGGCCTGGTAGGAGGGGCTTTGGTCATCTGAATGGTTTCCTCATGGCTTGGTGCTGTCGTTGCAAGATCTGGTTGTTTAAAAGTGTGTGGCACCTCCCCTACCTCTCTTACCCCTGAACCCCTCATCTCACCATGTGTGTGCAAGCTCCTGCTTCACCTTCTGCCATGAGTAAAAGCTGCCTGAGGCCTCCCCAGAAGCCAAGCAAACGCAAGCACTATGCTTGTACAACCTGTAGAACCAAGAGCCAAGTAAACCTATTTTCTTTATAAATTACTCGGTCTAAGGTATTTCTAATAGCAAAGCAAGAACAGCCCAATACAGAAAATTGGTACCAAGGCATAGGGCATTGTTATAAAAATAGCTGAAAATGTGGAAACAGCTTTGGAATTGGTTAATGGGCTGAGGCTGGAACAGTGTGGAGGGTTCAGAAGAAGACAGGAAGATGAGGGAAAGTTTAGAACTTCTTAAAGACTGCTTAAATAGTTGTGACCAAAATTCTGATAGTGATATGGACAGTGAAGTCCAGGCTGCTGAGGTTTCAGATGGAAATGAGGAACTTGTTGGAAACTGGAGCAAATGTCATGTGTGTTATCCCTCAGCAAACATCTTGGCTGGATTCTGTTCATGCCCTAAGGATCTGTGGAAGTTTGAACTTCAGAGAGATGATTTAGGGTATCTGGCAGAAGAAATTTCTAAGCAGCATAGCATTCAAGAAGTTGTCTGGCTGCTTCTAACAGCCAGCTTCAAATGCAGGAACAAAGAAATGACTTAAATTTGGAAGTTATATTTAAAAGAGAAGCAGAGCATAAAAATTTGGAAAATGTGCAGCCTGGCTGTGGGGTAGAAACAAAAAGCCCATTTTTAGGAGAAGAATTCAAGTAGGTTGTGCAGCAATCATTTACTAAAGAAATTTGCATAACTAAAAGGGAGTCAAGTGCTAATAGCCAAGACAATGAGAAAAAGGCCTCCAAGGCATTCAGAGATCTTCTAGGCAGCCCCTCCCATCAGAGGCCCAGGGGGACTGAATGGTTTTGGTGGTATGGGAATAGGCCCAGAGTGCTACTGCCCAGTGTTACCTCAGGAGGCTCCTCCTATCATAATGGCTGCTGTGGTTCCAGTCACTGCTCAGAGGCCTCACAGTACAGCTTGGGCCACTCCAGAGAGCATAAGCCACCATAAGCCTTGGTGGTTTCCACGTAGTGTTAAGCCTGTAGGCATGCACCCTGCGAGAGTGAAGGTTTGGCAACCTCACCCTAGATTTCAAAGAAAGTATGAGAGAGGCTGGGTTACCAGGCAAAAGCCTGCTTTAGGGGCAGAGCCCTCACAGAGAAACTCTACCAGGGTAGTGCTATGGGGAAATGCGGGGTTGGAACTCCCACACAGAGTCCCAGCTGGGACATTGCCTAGTGGAGCTGTGGGAAGGGAGCCACCATCTTCCACACTCCAGACGGGTGGTGCCAACAGCAGCTTGAAACTTCAGTGCGGAAAAGACACAGGAGCAGAGCTGCCCAAAGCCCTGGGAGCCCACCCCTTGCAGCTGTGTGCCCTGTATGTGGGACATTTCATCAAAGGAGTGTATTTTGGAGCTTTAAGACTTAATGACTACCCTGCTGTGTTTTGAACTTGCATGGGGCCTGCAGCCCCTTTCTTTTGGCTGATTTCTCCATTTGGGAATGGGAATGTTTACCAAATTCCTATAACCTCATTGTATCTTGTAAGTAAATAAGTTAATTTTTATTCTACAAGTTTATAGGTGGAAAAGACTTGCCTTGTCTCAGATGAGATTTTAAACTTTGGACTTTTGAATTAACTCTTGAGTGAGTTAAGACTTTGGGGGACTATTGGGAAGGCATGATTGTATTTAACAATGTGAGAAGCATAAGAATTTTGTGGGGGCCAAGGGCAGAATGATGTAGTTTGGATGTTTGACCCCACTCAAATCTCATGTTGAAATGTCATCTCGTGTTGGAAGTGGCACCTGGTGAAAATCTCATGTTGAAATGTCATCTCCAGCGTCGGAGGTGGCACCTGGTGAGAATCTCATGTTGAAATGTCATCTCCAGCGTCAGAGGTGGCACCTGGTGAGAATCTCATGTTGAAATGTCATCTCCAGCGTCGGAGGTGGCACCTGGTGAGAATCTCATGTTGAAATGTCATCTCCAGCGTCGGAGGTGGCACCTGGTGAGAATCTCATGTTGAAATGTCATCTCCAGCGTCGGAGGTGGCACCTGGTGAGAATCTCATGTTGAAATGTCATCTCCAGCGTCGGAGTGGCACCTGGTGAGAGTCTCATGTTGAAATGTCATCTCCAGCGTCGGAGGTGGCACCTGGTGAGAATCTCATGTTGAAATGTCATCTCCAGCGTCGGAGGTGGCACCTGGTGAGAATCTCATGTTGAAATGTCATCTCCAGCGTCGGAGGTGGCACCTGGTGAGAATCTCATGTTGAAATGTCATCTCCAGCGTCGGAGGTGGCACCTGGTGAGAATCTCATGTTGAAATGTCATCTCCAGCGTCGGAGGTGGCACCTGGTGAGAATCTCATGTTGAAATGTCATCTCCAGCGTCGGAGGTGGCACCTGGTGAGAATCTCATGTTGAAATGTCATCTCCAGTGTCGGAGGTGGCACCTGGTAAGAGGTGTTTGGGTCATGGAGGCAGATCCCTCATTAGTTCAGTGCTGCCCTCATGGTATTAAGTCAGTTCTCACGAGATTTAGTTGTTTGGTATATGTGGCGCCTTCCCCTTTCTTCCTTGCTCTTGCTTTTCCCATGTGACATGGCTCCTCCCCTTTCACCTCCTGCCATGAGTAAAAGCTCCCTGAGGCCTCCTCAGAAGCTGAGCAGATGCCCGTGCTATGCTTGTACACTCTGCAGATCCATAAGCCAATTAAACCATTTTATTTATAAATTTCCCAGTCTCAGGTATTTCTTTATAGCAATGCAAAAATGGCCAAATACACTATCAATTACTGAATCAACCACTTATCTATCTTTTTAAAAGGGAAATGAAAAATGGTTGAGTTAATTTTCAACATATACTACATGTGCTTCATTTAGGTGGAATAGTGTTCTATTATAAAGAGTTACCTAATTTTTTAGTTTCAATTTATGCTCATTGTAAATAATTCTATAATAAATACTGTTATGAATATACCTCTGAGAATGAGCAATTTTGAAGGCTAGGTTACTAGAAATGTCATTGCTAGTGAAAAGGTAAGTACCTTAGAATTACATTAGAAACTATAATATTAGATCCTTCCCTCCCCTCACAAAACAGCAGCAACAAAAACAACGTAAAAATTATACTTTAGCAGAGTACACAATAGTACTTAGTTGAAAGTAAGCATTTGTAAGCAAATTCAAAATCATTTTTAATGCCTAGATACGTTTCTAGAATTGTCTAGCATCCATCTATCCAACTACCCCTTGCCACCTCATGCAAGTTGGCAAACCCATAACTCCTCTCTGGAAAACAGTCAATTAGATTATTAAATAAACCCTTTTAGGGGCCAGCACCTCTACCCAATTGCAGTTTCTGCTAGAGCCCCTCATTCATCTCTGCCTTTTTCCTTTTTATGAACTTGTTCACTGATTAATTCCACAGAAAGCTATCTGCATTTCAGAGGCACTATCTTCATTCTCCACTCATTCCCCAACGATTCTACTTCTCTCTTCCATTCAGATGAAGATGCTCATGTTTTACCTTTCAGGGATGTTAGACAAGGTAGAGTACCCATTAGTGCAGACTCAACACAATCCCTTTCTACAGACGATTAATCATAATCTATTAGTCAGAATCTCAAATCACTTAAATTGATCTTAGGAATAAATAATATGCCTTTTATCTTAGTGACTGGTACCAATGAAGTAAAGGTGAGGTCTTAAATATTAGATGTATCAGCTACCTATGTTCCATCATTTAAACACATTTTTAATCATCCCATTGTACAAGTGAGTGTGCATATGCATTTTAAGGTTCTCAATTTTAATTTATATTTATCCTTATCTATATATATTTTAAAAATACACCCTCCTAGACAAAAGAAATATAAAACTGAGGCAAACAAGAAGTAACAAAGTGACTACAAAGCAATAATTGGATTCAACAGACTTCTAGGAGCCATGTCAATAGTTTCTCTTTATTTTTTTAAAAAATTTGACTTCTTTTTTTTTGTTTTCCTATCTGCTGATAATTTATCTTGACAGTACACTAAGGCAGAATAATCTGTGGCAAAATTAATAACATTTTAGAAAATAATAAAATTAAATGTTTGAAAGTCATTAGGATACATTCTAATCCAATCATTATTTTATAATAAAAAAGTTCTGTACATTAGTAAGTATTTTCAGGAAAAATAGTAAGTTCTGGCTTAATGCAAAAACTACTGCCATACAAAGCTTATATTTTACATATAATAATGCTACTTTAAAAAAATATTGAGAAGTAAAAACATTTGGTTACACTTGGAACTGTTTTTAACAATACTGGATGCTGACTCTTTTGGTTGTCTTTGTAAGGGGTATTTCTTGTCATAATGTCTTATTACTTGATTAGCTATGGTTCTGACCAGGTTGGAGGAAAGTTATATAGAGTCCAACAGAGACTGTGGCTCCATAGATTCCAACAACAATTCTGGTAAAATGCTGAATGATCAGATCCTGAAGACAATCTTCCCTGGAAAGTGCTGGTATTTGATAGTTGTACCTGAGGAGTTTGGCATAACCATGAATGCAATTTATAGATTTTCTCCTTATAAAATCAGCTTTTGCCAAAGATAAACCCATAAAAGTTAAGAATAGAAAAAAAATAGCAAATAGAACAGACACTATGTAAGGTATTCTTGCTGATGAAGACAGTCATACTCAAACCAAACAACTGTAGCTTTCAAATACTGTGTTTCAATTAGTATCAGACAACAGTCCCACAAGGTACTATTGATTCACTGTACATTGAGACATTATGATATTTTTGTCATTAAATGCTCCTTTTATAATCTATGATGTCCAGGGTCTAAGTAAAAATTTTCTTAACTCATTTTAGGACATCCTTTTTCTTAGTTTCCTCTGCTACTGTCCCAGGCAAAGCCGTTCTTTTTGTCATTTGTTAGTTCTTTCCTCAGCAGAAATTTTCCACAGACAGAAACAGCTCTCTCTATATACAAAGAAAACATTCACTTAAAAGATCTGACTATGTTTTATTCACACATATCATATAAAACATGGCTTTGTCATTAGAATTTTAAATTAGCATTTAAAATATCTTCTTATGCTACTTCCTTAAATAATAGTTATCTAATAAGAATATGTACCATACAGCGTCTCTGTTCAATAGTCTTTCTAGCCACATTTGGCTTTGAGTACTTCAGATGTGGCTAGTGTAAACTGAAATATCTGTAAGCAAAGATTATAAACCTCTTTTAAAGAAGACAAAATAAATCATGGGTCATTCTTATATATTCGTTACATGATGAAAAGTTAACATTTATATTTGGTTAACTAGATTATTTTATTAAAATTAAGTATACTTCTTTTACATTAAATATATTAAATATGTTATATTAAATGTTTATATCACATTAAAATTATTTTCCTGTTTTATTTTTTCAATGTTGCCACTAGACTATTTAAATGTCATATTCACATTTGTGGTTCACAGTATATTTCAGTTGGACAGTGACGCTTTAGAGAAAATGCAGCTAAGATAATTCAAGACTATGGCCAGACTTTGTAAGGAAGTCACATTTGAAGGGATTTCATTTCACTGAGGGATAAAATGAAATCCCTTCGAATGTGAATCCCTTATGTAGATATTAAAAAGTTTTCCATATGTGTAAATGAATCTGAGCAAAACCTCAAAACACTGAGAAACTCATGGGGACATGGACAAATTTATATAGTTTTATTTCATCCTTAAATTAACCCACAATATCTGAACTGACATTATTGGATATTATTTTTTTCTCTTTGTTCTCAATTCAACTTTATTTAAAGGACTAAAATCATATTTTAATAAAGTAAATTGGAAATATAAAATGTGATTATTCAATGAAATATATCAAGTTATTCTTTTATTTGCAAGGACAGAATGAAAGTCATGGGCAAACAAAATCTATGGGTAGAACTTTCATCATTTGCAATTTCAGCCTTCCAATAATCTTTGCTTATCTTGAGTAAATAATTTTGTCTTTTGCTCAGCCAAAGAATGATGCATGTTCTTGTCACAAAGAGATATGCTACTGGCATAGCCACACAGACTTCTTACCTAAACTGTCAAGCTAAGAAAATGCCCAGATAGAAATAACTTCTAAAACTTCCCAGGTTGAAACAAACAGCTAATACTAAAAATGTATTCTTGGAGAGAAAAAAACTAATTCAAACTCCAGAGTTCTATGTTGCCTTTGCTATAAATATCGGTATAACAATTTATGACATTAGGAAGTTTCCATTCTGCCTCTCACAGTGAATGATCCTTGGGAGGACTGATTTCACTTCACAGTAACAGAACTCATTAAACAGCTTTGCATCAACAATTTTCCCTCTCGAATCCATTTGAGTTTGTTAAAGAATCTCCCATAGTGGCTTGCCGTGGAGCAGTCACTTTTCATCTTCTACAGGAATCAAACCTAGTGAGTTGTAGTACCTATTTATATTACATTGTCTATTAAGGGCATTTGAGAGGTGGGGGTGCTGCTTTTAAACTTGTTTAGAGACAGAAGGAAAGTTTCAAATAGAAAATAGTTCCCAAATTTGACATCCTTGCTTTTTTTTTTTTTTTTTTTTTTTTTTTTGAGATGGAGTCTTGCTCTGTCGCCAGGCTGGAGTGCAGTGGAGCAATCTCGGCTCACTGCAACCTCTGCTTCCCGGGTTCAAGCGATTCTCCTGCCTCAGCCTCCTGAGTAGCTGAGACTAAAGGCTCATGCCACCACTGCCAGTTAATTTTTGTACATTTAGTAGAGACAGGGTTTCACCATGTTAGCCAGGATGGTCTCAATCTCTTGACTTCGTGATCCGCCTGCCTCGGCTTCTCAAAGTGCTGGAGTTACAGGCATGAGCCACTGCACCTGGCCTCATTTTTATAGGTATAAAAAATATTACGAATTTATATTTCATTTAGTCCCTCATGGAATTCCTTCCTGTTTTTATACTATTTTCCTAAGTCTAATAGATACAAATTAATATAAATAAACTGATGTTGCAGAAGATCATTTTCAGGTTTGACACTCCAGGAATATATGCAGGTAGAAAGTTCTTAGCAGTAAGAACATGGTTAGAATTTTTTAATTTGCTGAGCATACATTTATTTGTTTCCACCTATTTTCCATTCATAGTTCCACAGTATATTTACAACCACTGAACATGGCAGCTGAGGAAGATTTTATAATATTAAACAATTCATATTACTCATATATTTGTATATTTCTGGACCTAGACATACCATGTGTGAAGGGTAATACCAATTATTTACACTGGCATATAGTTTGACACTGAACATATGGTAGAGATTTAATATATAATTGGTGAATTAAAAGCAATTGAGAAAGGTGGGGAAAAAGAGAAGTAAAAAAAAAAAAATAGGGCCACTACACTACAGGGTAGAAAGGTTGCCTTCTGGAATAGAGGCTGCAGCAGCCCTGTGTTTGCATTGCTTCCAATTTCAGGGAGAAAGATTACGAAATATATCTTATAACAATAAAATTACGTATTTCTAGATTCTATCCCCATCTACTCTAGTGAAATCCTGCTGTCTTCTGAGTTATTTCTTAGTCATTGGATATTTTTCTGAGTATCTGATATTTTCCTCTGTGTTCTTAGGTATTCGATATTTTCCCCCATCTTCTACTCTGGTCCTTCTACTGTTGTCTTCCCAGGAAGTTCCTGCTGCCACAGAGTTGTTTGTTAATGTGTCTTAAAAATCATGGCTGCCAGGGATCCCCAGAAAGGAGCCAAGGCTACTCTTCTTTTGATCACAGATGAGATTTATGTCTCAAGGGAGATCTCCATCATTACCAGTCTTTGTTTTCAGAAGCTGCTGGTTACCTCATTCTTGATTAACAGAAGCTATAACCATATTATATTTTTAGGATCACTCATTGTGCCCGAGCAACATGATGTCTTATGCCAAATGAGAGAATAATATTTCATTTTTACTAAACTGTTTGACACAATCCAGCAGCATAGTTTTTGAGCCATAAATCTGAAGCTATCTATAGTGAAAATAGCTCTTTCTCTCTGTTATACATGGACTCTAATCCATAATGGATAAATTGATTTTGTTTTAGCCATCTCTTTCTCCTTCCTGCAAGCATGCTTGTTTATACCAGTAGTAAGACACACATTAAGGGGAAAATAAATTAAAAAGTTCTCATCAGGCCTTGTGTCTACTCCATTTGTACCACCTCATCCTTTGTCCAAAGGTCTGTACTATACTGTAAGACATTAAATAGTGATTATCAAAGTGATACTCTGATACTCAGATGTAGAGCCTCTCAGGAACTCCAGATGGAGAATGCATGATCAGCAGGACAGGATTTGGGTTAACCAAGTTCTGGACCGAAATATTTCATAAAAATTTCAAAGCCTCATCTTTACCTCTAATAATTTACGTTTGGCATTTTATATAAAGTGCATTAACCAGAATCAAAAATACTTCCATAACACATTTTTTCCCTCAGTTAAGGATAATGTAAGTCATCTACAGATATATACAATTGCAAGGGGAAAGTTCCAGAACCACAAGAGGTAAAGATTCAACCAATTCCCACATTATTAATATACTACTTAAATAAGTAGTGCCCTATTTCTAATTTTAAATATCACCAGGAGACATTTTAATGGTTTTAGATATTTTTAAAATATATTTTAGTTCTTTCTTTTCTGTAGCATTCAAGCAGCATACACAGTTTTGGGGTAAAATTGATTCATCTTATTTAAGTCATCAGGAATAGAGAGATATCACCTATTTTTAAAGAAGTGTTTGAAAACTTACTTTAATAAATTGGGCACTGTGCTAAATTGGGTAAAGCATTTGATACTGGTTGGATATTTTGTCCCCTCCAAGTCTCATGTTGAAATGTGATCCCCAGTGTTGGAGGTGGGGCTTTGTGGGAGGTGTTTGGGTCATGAATGGCTTGGTGCCTTCCCTGCAGTAAAGAGTAAAGAGTGAGTCCTCCCCTCTACTAGCTCATTAGAAATCAGGTTATAAAATAATCTTGGACCTCCCTCCCCTCTCTCTCTTGCTGTCTCTCTTGCTGTATGACATGCCTGCTCCCCTTTTCCTTCTGCCATGACTGAAAACTTTCTGAGACTTCACCAGATGCAGATACTGACACCATGCTTCTTGTACAGTCTGCGGAACCAGGAGCCAAGGCTTCACTGACATCTGTGTTCTGATGAATCCAAGAATGTATGTCTCTTGCCTGGATTCCTCTCTTGATATTTAGATGTGTGTATTTAACAGGCTATTTGAAATTTTATCTTAGATGTCTAGTAGGCATCCAAAACTTACTATGCTGTGATGGTCAATTTACATGTCCACTTAGCTAGGTTATGGCATCCAGTTGTTTGGTCAAACACTAGATGTTGCTGTAAAGGTACTTTTTAGATGTCATTAACATTTCAATCAGTAGACTTTGGTAAAAACAAATTACCCTTCATATTGTTTGTAGACTTCATACAATCATTAGAAGGCCTTAATACAAAAGACTGAGGTTCACTGAAGAGGAGTGAATATTGCCCCCAGACTGCCTTCAGACTACAAAATGAACTCTTGTCAGAATTTCCAACCTGTTGGCCTGCTTTGTAAATTTTATTTTATTCTTTATTTTTTAATTGTTTATGCTTTTTAGTTTTTTAAATTAATTAATTAATTATTTTTTCTGTGTGTGTGAGACAGGATCTCACTCTGTCACCCAGGCTGGAATGCAGTGTTTGTGATCAGAGCTCACTGCAGCCTCAACCTCCTGGGCTCAAGTGATCCTCCTTCCTCAGACTCCCAAGTAGCTGGGACCACAGACACACACCACCATGCCCAGCTAATTAAAAAAAAATAAATATGAGATGAGGTCTTGCTGTGTTGCCTAGACTGGCCCTGAGCTCCTGGGCTCAAGCAATCCTCCTGCCTCAGCTTCCCAAAGTGCTAGAATTACAGATGTGAGCCAATGTACCTGGCTTGCTCTGCAAATTTTAGATTTGTTCATCCTAACAAACCCTTAAGCCATTTTTTAAAACAGTCTCTCTCTCTCTCAGTCTCTCACTCTTCACTCTCTTTCTCCACCTTTCACTACTTCTCTCACTGCGTATCTACCCTATTGGTTCTACTTATCTGAAGAACCCTGATTAATACATACAGCAATAAATAAATTCTCGACCTTTCTTCAAAACTTGCTCCTCCCAGGCCTTCCACATCTTAGTAGGTAATACATTCTCCTTTTTAGCTGGCCAGACCAAAAACAATGACAATCAAAAAATGAGTCATCCTTGAATCCTCTGTTTCTCTTGCACACATCACATCCAATCTATCAAGAAATGCTCTCAACTCTACCTTTGAAATGATTTACATTCTGACTACCTCTCTTCACACTACTGACTTTCAGCTGGATTTCTGAAGTTGATTTCTTACATAAACCTTAGCTCTGTAAGATATATTTAGCTTAACCTCAAAGCCAACTCACACATATTGGGGAAGACAATTGAAGAATTCCCATTAGGGCAACAATGCCCATTGCTACAACTATTATTCTGGAGGTAATGATCTACACATGTAGATAAGAGAAATACATCAGACGGAGAAAAGTTCAAAGGTAGTGGTATAAAAATAGACCAATGGCATGACCGCACACTTGGAAAAGACAAATGTTTTAACTGAAAAATTAACATAAACTACCATGAGCACAGCATAGGAGAAGAAGTGAGGTATCATAAATTCATAGGCAGCATACAGTTGAAAAGACTAAGACTAAGGCACCTGGAACCAGGCTATCTAGATTGATCTAGGCTTTGACACTTACCAGCTGTGATTTTGGAAAAACTTGGTCTCCTTTTGCCTCTTTTTTTCTTATATCTAAAGCGGGGTGACATACATACCTACATCATAGCACTGTAATAAGAATCAAAAGTTAGTATGTGTTAAGTTCTGGGACTACTGCTTTGGTATAAAATAGTTTACTATGATAACTATGTTGTTATTATAACATTTATTGTTAATGTTGAATTATTACCAACATGTATATAAGATAACCCCCTTCTAAACTGCAAATTATTTTCTAATTTCCTCCAAATTGAGTTTTTTCCTCATCCCTCCAGTAACAATATCCTTTAGAAAGAAGTCGACATCATTTTCTAAGAGCTAAAAGAGGTGATATTTTTTACATTATTTGGGGGGTTTCCATTCAGTGACTTTGTGTGTTTTCTATTGGTACCTTGGCAACTTGTAATATACAACACATAGTAATTAATATTGGAAGAACTGCTTCTATATTGGGGAGCTCTGGTACATCTGTAACAAGGGCCATTTAACTTCAAAAATATATACCTGAATCTAACATCCATTCTTCATGAAAAGTCTAACAGTAAGATCATATCAGTCTTATATGCCAGGCATGAATAGAAATAACAGAATTTGACTCCCTATATATGAGTTACAGAACACATCTCTGAAATATTATAAAATAAAAAGACCCACAGGATATCACCAGGCAGCGATAACACAGCTAGGGGTATGCTCGCTTCTGGCACTGTCCCTTGACTTGAGCGGTCTTCTCAGGTCTGAATTCTATTAATCTTCTCAGAAATTTCAATCTCTTTATATAAACTGCTATTTTTGAAACTGGAACGCAGCCTCATAACTGGTCTGACTCCCACAAAAACCTTTGAGTTCTCAGTGTGCAGAAATGGTTTCTTATGTTTATCTCTTGTGAGATCAGAACCAGCGAAATGCTTGTCACATGAAAAGTGCACAAATAAATTGTGATTTAATTGATTTCTTGTTTAATTAATCGATTAATGGAATATTGAGTATCTGAATATCTAAGGAAGATTTTCCTAGCTCCTCCTCTTCAGTATAAGCTTAATTTAGTAGTTAAGAACTTGATACCGGGAATGGAAAAGACAGATAAATCCTACAGAATAGATGGCCTAGGGTTTTGCAGAATGGACTAATAATTTTTCATGCACCTGCTTTGGCTAGACTTAGTCATGCTGTCAATATTGCTTATCCACCTGCATTAACTACCTACAGAGGCAGCTATAAATTTATAGCTGAGTCATTTCTACTTGAAAGAGGAATCAAACCTGTATTAGCAACTGATCAAAATATAGGAAGGAATACTCTGACTAACCCTTCTGTGAAATCCCAAAGTATACTCAATGTCACACCAGGAAACCAATAAGTGTGGATTTGCTTTTGCTTTTTATCAACCTTGAATCTACCTTGTTACTTACCTGTGTGACTTGGCTAAGAAAAATGTCTGCTTGACAGCCATTGGGGTGGCCATTCCATGACAACATATTCTGCAGTGCATCTTAATTGCAAACAGCAAAATATAATTTCAAGTATTGAAGGACACCCTGTAGTCTAATTACCTCAGTATTCTGAGAAGATAGAGTAACCAAAAATGACTTCAAGTTTACTGTTTTGCTTTCAAATTTGTGTACTGATTATTTTTGGAGTTCTACAAAAGAAATAGTGCAATTCCAAAATTAGATTACTACATAAAAAATTTCATGTAAATATTCTCAAATATTTTGCCCATTAAAATAAATATGAATGTATGTGTGTGTGTGCATATATATATATATATATATATATATATATATATAAAAGCAAATCAGGTATAAAGACAGATCTATCTACATAATCTGATTTATTTTTCCACTGATATAAAGCCAAGAATCGTAGTTTTACATATACATATGTAAATTCCACTTATGGCAGGCATGCATATATGTCCTCCAAATGGCAAGTACAAAAACAGGCAAAATCCTCATTTTATACATCAGTACAAAATTAAAGGAAGGTCATATATTTGAGAACTGCAGTTGATAGAAATCTTGGTAAAGAGAAGTGCAATTAAGTTTCTAACCTTGTGCACTTGGCAAGCTTTCCCGTATCCAACTTTTGGCATTGAGCCCTTAATGGACCTTTTAATTAACAGAGACCTTGTTACTTCCCATTTTCAGTTTACCTATGACCATATACAAAAGGATGGACTTCAGAGGCTATCTCTGTAGAAACAACTATTGATATAGGATTGATGCACATGGGCATGAATGCATACTTGTGATAGATACAGAAGCAGCTGTGAGTGGAAATGTCTGGTCTGTAATGGGGCCAGAAATTTTCCAGCACGGCTAGGACTTGAACTGATCATATAGGCAGGCACCAAAACCAAATAATCATAAACAATGAAACTGGCCAAAGCGCAGCCAGATAAACGGGTGCTGAGACAGAATGATACTAAGCAGAAAGAAAGATTGAGACCAGTTAGGAAGGCAAGAGGAGAAATTTGAGCAGAATCAAATACTTATCTTACCAGGAAAACCACCTAGTAAGGGTAAAATCACAATAGGATCACAGTTTGCAGCATAAGTGATAGTTAAAGAACAGAATAAGGCACAAGTAAGGCTAAGATCTAAGATAATGACGAAGCCTTCAGATGGCTCAAATTTAATCTCGGCAATAGCACTTTAGAGAGATCTCTCTGCATCTTAACAAATATGGTTTCTCCGTGGAAATTGAGATATTGGGGTCAACAGTAGTGCTTACTTACCTTCCAAGCCTTTTCCTGGAGATAGTATACCATCTTGAGACTTGACTTGCAAATAGTGGCTCTGCAGTTGGCTTTTGATGCATGAATTGTCCAAAGTATTCCAGAGATCAGCATTTTCCCTTTGGATTTTTCTTTTTTTGCTTGGATTTTGTAAATATTCAGAAAGGCAAAGCTAATTTCACATTACTTTCTTTGGACAAATCTTGGCAGAGTGCCCAGTACAACTTCAGATATTACTCAATTCCGTTTGATGGTACATACATATCACGCTCAAAATGTTTCAAAAATGAGTGCTATTTGATGGTGCACATTAGTCTAAAAAAATACATATCAGTTTCATAAAAATATACACTGTAGAAATAAAAGCTTGTCTGAAAACACATAATAGACTTCTCTGATATATTTTACATCATGTATTTGTATTCATTTAAATAGTATTAATTGATTTCCTACTATGTGTCAAAAACAGTATTCAGTGTTGAGATAAAAGATGATGGAAAATGTGCCTCCCTCAGAGCATGGCGGAAACTAGCCATAAAACTAGTATCTGGCTGGAAACTAGAAGATAAACATCTAGACTCGGCTCTGTCGCAGACATTTTTTTGTAATCTTGGCAAGTCGCTCTACTTGCCTTGAAAGTACATTTATTCATCTCTATAATAATAGAGTGGGACAAAATTATTTCTAAAGCCTGTTTAAGTTTCAAATAAGATTCTGAAATCTAATCCTAAATAGGTACAATTTGGGGGATAGAAATTACATGTTTTTATTAACCATCCACGTAGCCCCTAGACAAACCTGGCATGAATCAGGTTTGTATTAAGAGACGGGAGAAGCTAAAGGCTCTTCCTCAGAATTAAAGGCTTATCTTTAAGGCCTTGAACCACTGAATCAGACACATACATGAAATTTCTTAGGCTCTAGTCAGAATGTCAATGATCTCAGTTATGTCAGAGAAAACCAAGTGGAAAAAAAAAATTATTGAGAGAAGGTGTAGAATTGCCTTCCTTAGATAAAGTCAAATGGTTACAAACACAGGCAGCTGAAATTAAACTTAACCACTAGTATCTCAAACTCTCCACCATCCATAACTGGCCCTGAGTTGAGACACAGGGTAGAAATTTATATCTGGCTTTGACTCGGAAACTAGGCTTTTAACAGTTGCCTAAATGTGAGGTCTGGAAAACTGTATTTTTGCTTGCCTAATCAGCACTTCATTCATAAAGCAGCAGATGCTGCAGCTTTTGCAGAGTCATGATGATAAACAAAGGAAAATCTAGTTAAATCAAGCTAGTGATTTTTTAAAATTTTAGGTACTTTTTAAAAATTTGAACATATTATCCTGATGACAAAAGTAACATTTTTTTAAATTGCAGAGCATTAAAAAGTAGAGAAAATATAAAGAAATCTAATTTACACAAACCTCACTACTTGAAGATAACCTACCCTCATGCTCCACTACTGTGGAGCGGCTGCCACTATTTTCCGACTTTGATTTTCACTTCCCTTAATTTCATGGATTTTACTGATTCATGGTCTCTGTTTGCTTCCATTTTGCTGTTTCTATTTGCATGTTTTCCACATGCTTTACGTTTCAACACCTTAGGAAAAAGTAACTGAACACCTGGCCTTCACCATTTGGTAGAGAAACCTGTGGGGCAGAGTTTTTGGGCCAGACTTCTTGCTAATCTCCTGGTCAGACTACAGAAGACAACTGCTTCCTCTTCCTCAGATGGACTTCTCCAGTCCGATTAGCTGTGTTCAGGATGGGAGGTCTCAGGGGCATGGTGCTGGGTGGTCCTTAGGTCAAGAATCCCAAATCCCACAGAAAATGGGGTTTGGCCATTATACTTAATGTTAGACAGCTCAGAACAGGGAAATCACATGTGGTAGAACACTTGATAATATTAGTATTTAAAGGGGAATTACAAATATATAAACACAAATAAACAAATCAATAATCAGGAATACTCAATTGTGCCCTGGTAGATGAGAGGCCCTCTACTGAATGCCCCTAATAATACAATGGAAGCACCCATCTATTATGTGTACACTCAGTGAGCAGCCAAATCCCAGGGTTAGAAAATTCATCTTCCCTCTCAGTAAGAGTTAAAGGTTTTGTTTCTCTCAAACGACATCTAAAAAACAATGTGTGAAGAAAACCACATTAAGTAAACAAGGATGAATAATCCTAAATACATACACTCCATTGAGTAGATCAGAAATAACTTAGTCCTGTGCCAAGGTGAATTCCTAACTGAGTCACTCATAGTTATTATAAAGGAAACAAAGATTATCATATGCAACTGTATTCCAATCCTGGAATAATAATGCTGCAAGAATTCTAATGAAAATGAAAAGTCTCATTGTGAAGAATTCACAACAAATTTAAATTTCGATGAACCTTCGAGTAGACACCTGTATTTACAGAGTGTTTCTTTTTGTTCTTCAATATCTGCTCTTCTTAGTAAAATTGCCTAAAATTGATGTATTCTCCATTAATCTAGAATTTATATCTTAAAACATGGGTGGTAAAAAGTTATATAAATATTATATCATGATCCAATTTAATTTTTTCCTGTGTAAGAGTAAAATATGTATAGGTAGTCATTTGATCAATGCTGGTAGCAGCCATCTATAGACAGTTAATTAAATGTGAACAGAGTTGCCACACAGGCGCTTCTCTATACTCTCCCTCATCAATCCCTCATCAACCTGTTTTAGGTGCAATTATGTGTGCTTAGCAATTAAATCTGGAAGTTAGAGTAAGTTTTTTTATTTTGGAGGAAAATCTCATTTCCCCTTAAATCATTTTAATCTTTAAAACCTAGCACCATGCATGGTTCACAGTAGTTGTTCCTGTAAATGTGTGGTAAGCATTAATAAATGTCTGAAAAGCAATGGCTATACCTGCAATTGCTTTCTTAAAAAGTAAACACCAGATGGAAAATGAATAAACTAGCAAAAATTACACTGTTAAGGAACAGAGAGAATCATGGTGGAACATGAGAACCAAAACCATCCACCCCCACACAGCATACTGTCCACATTTTCATGATTTAACCATTCCACTACATGTGTGTCAACATGACTTTATAATCGCAGGAAACTTGCCCAAGAAGATAATAGTTGCAAATAACTTTTCATTCCAGGAACTTTCTGAAAATCTTATTTCAATAAAGAGCAAATTGTTCAGCTCTTCAATAGAAGGCATAAAATGACAGCTTACTCCCCAAGTCTTTCTAAGGCTTCTCAAAATGTTCACCTTGCCACCTCAACCAAATGTAAATCATTAAAATCCTTGCTTCTCCGTAATGAAACTCTCTCATAAAAGAACTTCTTTAAATCATATTCCAAAGCTTCATAAATACCCCAATTTTCCCTCCCCCTTTCAATACTTTACTAAGACTTTATCAAGGTAATATAGTCCTTGACCAAGATGCAAATACAGACAATTTTTTTTCCCAATAAACCAGTTGTTCTACAATTTTGAGCAGCCATCATTCAACAATGGACAGAATTAAAGTGAGTGTTTTCTTTTTTTTCTCTCCTTTTTTTTTGAGACGGAGTCTCACTCTGTTGCCCAGACTGAAGTGCAGTGGAGCAATCTCGGCTCACTGCAACCTCCGCCTGCCCGGTTCAAGCAATTCTCCTGTCTCAGCCTCCCAAGTAGCTGAGACTACAGGCATGCGCCACCATGCCCGGCTAATGTTTTATATTTTTAGTAGAGACAGGGTTTCACCATGCTGGCCAGGCTGGTCTCGAACCCCTGATCTCATAATCCACCCACCACCTCGGCCTCCCAAAGTGCTGGGATTACAGGCATGAGCTACTGCGCCCAGCCCCTAAAGTAAGTCTTTTCTATGTATATTTATTTTTCATACTACGGCTCTTGATATTTTAACCACAGAAAAGTTTTACAAATTAAAAAATGTAACTAAAAAAGAAGTGAAAACATTAAAAAATGAAAGACAAATTAGTCTAATTTTATATCAAAATATCAATACAAGTGATATAGAACTATTAAAATGATGTTTAAATTACTATAAGAATTATGTGATTTTAATTATTATTATTTAAATAGATTTTAGGGAACAGGTGGTTTTGGTTACATGGATAAGTTGTTTAGTGGTGATTTAGGAGATTTTGGTGCACACATCACTTGAGCAGTGTAAACTGCACCCAATGTGTAGTCTTTTATCCCTCACCTTCCTCCCACACTTCTCCAGTCCTCAGTCCATTATATCATTCTTTTTGTCTTTTTCCTTCAGCTTTTAAGTGCCAGGTGCATGTGCAGGTTTGTTACACAGGTTAACGTGTGCCATGGTGGTTTGCTGCATAGATCAACTCATCATCTAGGTATTCAGCCCAACATCCATTAGGTGTTCTTCCTCATGCTCTCCCCTTCACACCTAAACAGGCCCCAGTGTGTGTTGTTCCCCTCCCTGTGTCCATGTGTTCTTATCGTTCAGCTCCCACTTATAACTGAGAACATGGGTGCTTGGTTTTTGTTCCTGCATTAGTCTGCTGAGAATAATGGCTTCCAGCTCCATCCGTGTCCCTGCAAAGGGCGCGATCTCATTCCTTTTTATGGGTGCATAGTATTCTATGATGTATATGTATTACGTTTTCTTAATCCAGTCTATCATTGATGGGCATTTGAGTTGATTTCATGTCTTTGCTATTGTGAGTAGTGCTGCAATGAACATATGCATGCACGTATCTTTATAACAGAATAATTTATATTCCTTTGGATATATACACAGATTCCCTATTTAATCAATGGGGCTGGGAGATCTGGCTAGCTATATGCAGAAAATTGAAACTGGATTCCTTCCTTACACCTTATACAAAAATTAACTCAAGATGAATTGAAGACTTAAATGTAAAACCCAAAACATTATATCGTTCTTATGCCTTTGTATCCTCATAGATTAGCTCCTGCTTATATGTGAGAACACACGATGTTGAGTTTTCCAATCCCGAGTTACTTCACTTAGAATAGTGGTCTTCATTTCCATCCAGGTTGCTGTGAATGTTATTATTTTGTTTCTTTTTATGGCTTAGTAGTATTCCATGGTATATACACATACCACATTTCTTTATCCACTTGTTGGTCGAAGGACATTTAGGGTGGTTCCACATTTTTGCAATTGCAAATTGTGCTGCTATAAACATGTGCATGCATGTGTGTTTTTCATTTAATGACGGTTTTTCCTCTTGATAGATATGCAATAGTGGGATTGCTGGATCAAATGGTAGATCTATTTTTAGTTCTTTAAAGAATCTCTATACTGTTTTCCGTAGTGGTTATAGTAGTTTACATTTCCACTAGCAGTGTAAAAGCGTTCCTGATTCACAAGATCTATGCCAATGTCTATTATTTTTTAATTTTTAAATTATGGTCATTCTTGCAGAAGTAAGTTGGTATCGCATGTGGTTTTGCTTTGCATTTCCCTAATCATTAGTGATGTTGGGCAATTTTCACTTTTGTTGGCCATTTGTATATGCTGTTCATATGTGATCTTTAGTAAAGTGACTTCAAAAATTTTGTCAGTTTTACACATTTGTCTCCTAATAATTCATTTTTTTGATATAGATCTCACTATTTTCTGTTTTTGTTGAGTTTGTTTTGGTAATTTGTGTCTTTCACAAATTTATCCATTTCACCTAGGTTTTTCACAGTTATTGGAATAAAGTAGTTCATAATGTTCCGTTTATAGTCCTACATTATAAATTTCTACAGTTTCTATAGTGAGAATCCTTTCACATTCCCAATTTGATAATTTGTTTCTTCTCTCATTATTTCTTGGTCAATCTAATTAAAAGTCTATCAGTATTTTTTTTTGTTTTCCTTCCTTTATCTTTAAAAATGGACAAATTTTAGTTACTGTTTTTCTCCTTTTCTACTTTCTTTTTCATTCTTTTCACTCAGAGATCTACTATTTATTTACTTCTAATTACTTTGGATTTGATCTGTGTGTCTTTAGTTTTTTGGAGAGAATCTTACATTCTTAACATTAAATTTTTTATGTTTTTTAAAATTAAGGCTAAAAGCTATAGTTCTCACTAAGCACTAGCTTACCCACATTCCATCAGCTTTTCAATTTTGTGTTTCCATCTTTATTCATATGATTTTTTTAATATCTCTCAAAAGGTTGTCTTAGACCAATGGGCTTATAACTTTATGATTAATTTTCAAATTTTGAAGATGTTCCAACTATTCATTTTGTTGTTGATTCCTAATAGAATTGTATTGGGATCAGAGAATATACTTTATATGATTTCAGTCCTTTCATGTATATTGAGACATTTGTTAATGCTTAGCATATGGTCCCTTTGAGAGTGTTACACGTATGCCTGAAAGTAATGTATATTTTACAGTTGTGTAAAATATTTTATAGATGTCAACTAGATCCAGTTGGTTGATAGTGACAGAGACAGGAGGCAGCCAAAGGTCCCCCAGCAAAAGCCCACCTTCAAGACTAAAACAGCCTGAAGGCTGAAAAACTGGGCTGCCCATCCCAGATGAAGCCTGCCCTTTTCCCAGCTGATTCTTTCTGAATAATGCCCGCCTGCGCACTGGGAGATTGGGGTGGAGCCTCAGGAAGTCTGTACCATTTGCAGGGCGGAGGAGCCTGGCCTCTCCTGTTCCTGGGAAAGTTCCTGTTCCTGTCAAAGTTTACTGACAGCAGGGGAGATGGGGCATATGTGGGTAAGAGCAGATACTCCTATCACCTAAGTCCCCTTGTGAACATGGTTGAAAGCCACTTTAACACCCATGGATGGCACCCTGTCGTGGTCACCGAGACTGGGAGATACAAGAATGGGGGAAAGAAAGAGGAATGCTTCATTTTCCCTCCCTCACGTACCGCATGTATTTGCTAGAAAGAGAAAGGAATCAGGGACGCTTGCTCTCCTCATTCTAGATGAGTAGCCATTCATCTTCAGTCTGTACCCCTTTTGAATGCATCCTAAATCCCTAGGAATCCTTTGAAAAAAAATGACTACTTTTTTTTTCCTTTTTCCTCCTCTGTCCTCTCTTCACTGATAGGTAATTGTGTGTCCATACTCTGGGACGCTCCCGTCATATGCATCCTCCAAACTGGGAAGAGTTAATTTCACAAACCTTAAACTGGTTGGCTTAGGACTGGGCTCAGGGGAAGGGGACCCAGAAGCCTAACACGCTGGCAAAAAGGTAAAAGTATTTTTTTTTTTCCAGTGGGCTTTCAGCCTCCCTCTCCATGTACACACCCGTAAAAGACCTCGGGTTTTTGAGCTGTCCTCACCCACCCCTTGTTTCATTTGGATACATGTTTTCTAATAACCTGGTTTGTCCCTTCTCTCCTTCAGGCCAGCAGACTCCAAATGGTCATGCAAACAGAGCCTTGGACAATGGCCCCTTTTGCCAGGAACGCTTAGATTGGCCTCTGAGGGAGATCTGACTGCCATTTCCCCAAAGCAGCCCCCTCTGTCTTCAGGAAGCAGTTAAGATTGGTCTTCGTGTTTATCCTTATCCTTATTCTAAGGGCAGTTAGATGTGCTCCTTTCGAGGGGGAATGATAGAGACAGGAGGCAGCCAAGGGTCCCCTGGCAAAACCCCGCCTGAGGCTGAAGGCTGAAACAGCCTGAAGGCTGAGAAACCAGGCTGCCTGTCCCAGATGAAGCCTTCCCTTTTCCTGACTGATTATTTCTGAATAATGCCCACCTGCGCACTGCAGAGACAGGGTAGAGGCTCAGGAAGTTCGCCCTGTTTCCAGGGCGAAGGAGCCTGGCCTCTTCTGTTCCTGGGTGGTGACCTGGGATTCGATCTGTGAGGTTGAGACCTGTTAACAGGAACCCCTCTCGCTTTGCTGACAGGGTTTTTTTTATTTTCATCCAATAAATTCCACTCCCCGTCACTCTTCAAAGTGTCTGCATGCCTAATATTTTCTGGTCGTGTGACAAGAACCCGGTTTTTTCTACAACAATAGTATTTTTCATGTTTGTTGTATCTTTACTTATTTAGTCTGTTCTTTCTCTATCAATTAAGAAAAGGGTGTTGAAATCACAATTATATTTGTTGAAATGTCCATTTCTGTTTTTTCAATTTTGTCAGATTTTACTTCATATATTGTAAAGCTCTAGTGTTAAGTACCTTTATAATTGTTATCTTTTCCTTCCGTGTTGACCTTTTTTTAATTAAAAGATCCCTCTTTATAACTAGTAATATACCTTAGTTTAAAATATGTTTTTGTCTGATTTTAATATAGCCTCTCTAACTCTCTTATGGTTATGTTTGTATGGTACAGATTTTTAAATCAAGTTACTTATAACCTATTTTTATATTTCAATCTAAAGTTAGTCTCATCTCTTATAGACAGCACATAGTCATATCTTTCTCTTTTAAACAAGTTAGTTACCATATCCATCACCTCCCTTACCTATCATTTAAGTAGAATAATATTCTATTATAAATAGTATTTCTGTATGTGGAGCATTAAGGATAATATAATGAGGGCTCAAAAGAAGACAAAAAAGACTAAAAAAATGTTTAAAACTTCTTAGAGATTGGTTCAGTTGTCATGACCAGAATGCTGACAGAAATATTAACAGTAAAAGCCATTCAGATGAGACCTCAGATGGAAATAGGACTATCTTACTGGGAACTGGTGTAAAGGCCATCTTTGTTAGACATTAGCAGAGAACTTGATCATATTGTGTCCCTGTCCTAGGGCTTTGTAGACATATCTAAGCAGCAAATGTTCAGGCTGCTGCCTGGTTACTTCTAACTGCTAGTGAACTGCTAGAAAGAAGGGAAGTAGAGTGAAAAGATTTGGTCAATTTATTGCTTGACCATGTGGTAGAGAATAAAACTGTTTTCAGAAGAAAAGCCAAGGGTGCGGTACAGCAACTCTTCACTAAATAGATTAGTGTGAAGAGAACAAAGCCAGAGGCCATTTATCAGGACAGTGGGAAAAAGACCCCAAAGGCATTTCAAAGATCTTCCAGGCTGTTTCTCCTATCTTAGGCCCAGAGGTCTCCAAGGGTGGAATGTTGTGGGGGATAGGCCTCAAGCACACTCCTCAGGATTCTCTGCTCCATGCATCCCAGCTGCTCTGGCTGTTCCAGCCATGGTTCAAGGGATCCCAGGTACAGCTCATGCCGCAGCTTCAAAAGGCAAAAGTCGTAAGCCTTGGCAATATCCACATCCATATGGTGCTAATTCCGCATGCAGGCAGAATGCAAGAGTGGAGGAGGTGCAGCAGCCTCCAACTAGATTTCAAAGTTTTTGTCAAACTGCCTAGGAGCTCAGGCAGAAATCTGTCACAGTGGCAGAGTCAGCACAGAGAGTCTTCTCTAGAATGCCCAGTGGAACCATGGGAGCAGGGCCACTTCCCTCTGGACTCCAGACCCACAGAAGTCATCAGCAACATGCGACACCAGCCTAGGAAATCTGCAGGCACCAGCATGCAACCCCAATCCATGACAGTAGCCACACGGGCTACACCCAGCAAAGTCTTGGAGGTGGGCCTGTCCGAGGTCTTGAAGCCCCTCCTCTACCCCAGTGTGCCCAGGAAAAGGTACATGAAGTACAAGAATATTCTGAGCTTTAAGATTTAATGTCTACCCTGCTGGGCTTCAGGCTTACTTTGGGCTGATTTTTCTTTTTGCCTCTCTCTCCCTTTTGGAAGGAGAATACTCATCTTATGCCTGTTCCACCATTGTATTTAGAAAATACATTTATTTTTTATTTTACAGGCTTATAGCTGGAAGGACTTTGCCTTGAGTCCCAGATGAAGCTTTGGACTTTAGACTTTTGCCTTAGTGCTAGAATAAGTTAAGATTTGGGTACTATTGAAATGGGTTGAAAACATTTTTCATTGTGAGTACATGAGTTATAGGGGGAGCCAGGGATAGAATGCTGTGATTTGAATGTGGTTTATTTCTACCAAAACTCATGTTGAACCATGTTCCCCAATGTGGCACTGTTGGGAGGTACTGCCTTTAAAAGGAAAATAGGTCATTAAGATGGATTCATGTCTTTTGAGATTGGGTTGATTATTTTAGGAATGGAATAATTCTTGAAAGAATGGATTGTTATAAAGTGAAGTTGCCTCTCCAATTTGGCCTTTCTTTTGTGTGCCTCCTTCCCCTTCCATTTCTCTTCCATGTCATGATGAAGTAAAAGGCCCTCATCAGATGCTGATCAAATGTGGCTTCCCAATGTTGCACTTTCCAGCCTCCACAATGCTGAGCCAAAATAAACGTCTTTTTTTTTAAAATAGATTACCCAGTCTCAGGTATCCTATAATAGCAACACAGAACAGATGAAGACAGGTAGCATAAACATTTTCACAATATCAATTTTTCTAATCCATGAACATGGCATATCTTTCCATTGATTTGTATTACCCTGAATTTCTTTCCTCAATGTTTATAGTTTTCAGTATATAAGTTGATATAGTTTGGATGTTGTCCCCACCTAAATCTCCTGTTGAACTGTAGTCCCCAGTGTTGGAGATGGGGCCTGGTTAGAGGTGATTGAATTATGGGAACAGATTTCTCATGAGTAGGACCATCCTGTTTATACTGTCCTTGCAATAGTGAGTGTTTTTATGAGATGTGGTCATTTAAAAGTATGTGGTACCTCCCACTTCTGCTGCTTTGATCATGTGACATTCTTGCTCCCCCTTTGCCTTCCACCATGATTGTAAGTTTTCTGAGGCCTCCCCAAAAGCAAGCAGATGCCAGCATCATGCTTTACGTACAGCCTGTAGAAGCGTGAACCCATTAAACCTCTTTTCTTTATAAATTACCTAGTCTAATATATTTTTATAGCAATGTGGGAATGGTCTAATACTCAGGTATTTTACAGTTAAATTTACACCTATATATTTAACTTTTTTATTGCTATTGTAAATGAGATTTTTTAAAAAATTTCCTTTTAAGATAGACCATTATTGCAATATAGAAAAGCTACTGATTTTTGCACATTAATTTTGAATGTTGCAACTCTAGTGCATTCATTGATCAGTTCTAATAGTTTTTTTATGATGTCTTTAAGGTGTTTTACACATAAGATCATCTTATCAACAAAGAGAAACAATTTCACTTTTTTCTCTCCTATTAGTATGCCTTTTATTTTGTTTTATTGCCTAACTGCTCTGGCTCTGATTTCTAGTACTTTATCAAAGAGAAGTGGTGTGGCCAGGCACGGTGGCTCATGCCTATAATCTCAGCACTTTGGGAGGCTGAAGCAGGTGGATGGATCACTTGAGGTTAGGAGTTAGAGGCCAGAATGGGCAACACAGTGAAACCCTATCTCTACTGAAAATACAAAAATTAGCTGGGTGTTATGGCAGGTGCCTGTAGTCCCAGCTACTCTGGAGGCTGAGGCAGGAGAATCGCTGGAACCTGGGAGGCGGAGGTTGCAGTAAGCTGAGATTATGCCACTGAATTCCAGCCTGGGCAACAGAGTGAGACTCTGTATCAAAAAAAAAAAAAAAAAAAAAAAAAAAAAAAAAAAAGAAGGAAAGAAAGAAAGAGAGAAGTAGTGACAGTGAGCATCGTTGTCTTGTCCCTGATCTTACAGGAAATGCTTTCAACTAGCCACTGTTAAGAATAATACTAGCTATGTGTTTGTCATATATTGTGCTGAAGTACATTTTTTCCGTATAGTTAATTGTTGAGAATTTTTATAAGAAAAGGGTGCTGAGTTTTCTTAAATGCTTTTTCTGCATCTTCTCATTTTTTTTCATTTTGTTAAAGTGGTGCATCACATTTATTGATCTGCATATTTTGAACCATCTTTGCATCCTAAGAATAACTCTCACTTGATTGTGAAAAATGATTCTTTTAATGTGTTCTTGAACTGGGTTTGCTAATAGTTTCGTTGAGGATTTAAAAAATGTATCTTTATCAATGATGTTGCCATATATATATACATATATATATATATACACACACACATATATATATACATATATATATACACACATATATATACATATATATATACACACACACACACACATATATATATATATATATATATTTTTTTTTTTTTCCTTGTAGTGTCCTTGTCTGCCTTTGGTGTTGTGGTAATGAGTTTGGGATATAAAATGAGTTTGGAAGCATTGTTTATACTTCAGTTTTTTTGAATGGTTTGAGAATTGGTATTATCTCTTCTTTAAATGTTTAGTAGAATGTAGCAGTGAAGCCGTCCAGTCCTGCGCTTTTCCTCAGTGGAAGACTTTTTTTTTTTTTTAAACTGATTCAGTCTCTGTGTTCATTATTGCTCTATTGAGTTTTCTATTTCTTTGTGTTTGTTTTCAAAGCTTTCATGTGTCTAGGAATTTATCCATTTCTTCTAAGTTATCCAATGTACTGGTGTGTAATTGTTAATAATAGTTTCTTATGATTCTTCGTATTTTAGTGGTGTAAATTGTGATGCCTCGCCTTGCATTTCTGATTTGTTTACTGAATAACCTCTCTTTTGTAATTAGTAAGTCTAGTTAAAGGTTTGTCTATTCTTTTTTAAAGCTGCTCCTAAATGCTCTTTTTTGCCAACTGACCCCAGGTGGTCCACCCCTGCTTGTAATCCCAATGTTTCCTGTGGGACAAAATAGGAATGAGCCTTCTGTAAAGAGTGCCTGAATGGTGGGAAAACTGAAGATTTGCTTCCAACTAACTTTCCCAACTGTAGAAACTGTGGGTCCAGGAGAATTCTCTGTGTATGGTACTGTGTTGGCCTAGAGAAAGGGCAACGAGGTGAAACATCTGAAGTCTTAATATTTGATTTCCATTTTTCTTTGTCCTGAAGTCCAAGGGTCCAAGGGAAGTCTTAGCCTCACTCCTGAGTTCTGGGACATTTAGGATGGTATACTTCCTGTGTTGCTATTGGATTTCTATAGGGAGAGTGAAGCCCAAGAATCCTACTCCGCCATTTTGCTGATGTCACTCCTTCAATATTTTGAAAATATTTATAGTAGATGTTTTGAATTTTTTTTTTTCTGCTAAATCCAATATCTGGTCCCATGTAGTGTCAATATCTATTGACTCAATACTCTTTTGAGTATTGGTCACACTTTCATGTTTCTTCGGATATCACATAATTTGTGGTTGAAAATTTAATATATTAGAAAATGCATCATACCAACTCTGGAATGCAGTTTATATTTCTGTGTATGTGTGTTAAAATTAGCTTTGATGTGTAGCCCAGCCACTGATACTCTACTTAATTGTATTTTACCATTACTATTGTATTTTTATGCCTTGTTTTCTAGGAATACTGCCCTGCGTCTATTTATCTATTCATTTATTTTTACAGGCAGGGTGTCACAATGTCGCCCGGACTGGAGTGTGATAGCTTGATCACAGCTCACCGTAATCTCAAATTCCTGAGCTCAAGTGACCTTCCCACTTCAACCTCCCAAGTAATTAGGACTACAGGCACACACCACTAGCCCAGATACATTTTAAAAAAATGTTTTTGCAGGGAAAGACTTCTCTATGTTACCCAGGCTGGTCTCAAACTCCTGGCCTCAAATGATCCTCCCAGTTTGGCCTCCCAAAGCTCAGGGATTATAGGAATGAGCCTGGCCCTCCAGCATGTCTTCATAGTTTAGTGATCACCCAGTTATTTGGATAGAGGATGTACTCAAAGGCTTTGTTTCCATAAGGTGTCTACCCACTTCACATTTATTAGTGAGTGGTTTGGAAAACACACTTAAAGTTGAAGTGAGTCCTCAAGTCTTCCTCAGCTTCTGTTTCTCAAATCCCTCTCAGGCCTCCCTAATAGCCAGTGATATGCGAGACCTTATCTCAGACCTTCTATGGCTCGCTCATTTTCAGAATCTCTTGGCTAACTTTCTTGCTGGTCCATTGCTCCCCCAACCAGGACCTCTGTGTGCTAACACAAATGTTTTGCTCAGTTGTTCCCACCTAAGTACTCACTTTTAGCTGGCAAAGCCATAGGTTTTCACTTGCTACTCCAAACTGAGGAAGTTCCCCATGCATAGCCTCGAAACTGTTGGTTTTCAATGCCCGCTGTTACAAATACTATTCTTGCTGACTCTATTGACGTGGGGAGTGAAGATGGCAGCGACCTGGAAAGAAGGCCACAGATACTCCTCTAACTTGCAACTCTTGCATTTATTTCAAAAGTAAATTTTATTAACTCGTTTTCTGCTTTTTGTTGACATATGTGCCTTGAAATGTTGTTTCTATTTTTTTCCAATATCACACAGATGGTCCCTGAGTTACTAGGGTTCAACATACACATTTTCACTCTACAGTGGGTTTATCTGAATGTAATCCTATCGTAAGTCAGGAAGCATCTGGACTTACAGTCTCTCAACCTACAACTTTTGATATTATGGTGGGTATAAGGGTATTAAACATATTTGAACTGAAGATTTTTTTTTTTTTTACTTATGGGTAGATATCATGATTGTAAGTCTAGAAGCATCTGTACTTGCTTTTTGGAGAGAATGTGACAACATCTTCATGCTGCCAAAGCTAGAAGTCCATTATAAATTCATTTTTTAAACAGGGCAATTTACTTCTAGTTCCCTAAAAAAATTTAATCTGAAATACATTTACTTGCTAGCATTCATTCACTTCTTTCCATTCACAGTTGATTTGGTAAATTCAGCCATGACATGGTTTGGATCTGTGTTCCTGCCCAAATCTCATGTCAAATTGTAATCCCAGTGCTGGAGGCGGCGTGTGGTGGGAAGTGATTGGATCATGGGGGTGGTGCTTCATGAATGACTTAGCACCATCTTCTTGGTGCTGTTCTCATGATAGTGAATGAGTGATTTACCATGAGATATCATTTAAAAGTGTGTAGCACCCCTCCCCGTCTCTTGCTCCTGCTCCAGCCATATGAGACGTCCTGCTCTGTTTTTACCTTCCATCATGATTGGAGGCTTCATGAGACCTCCCCAGAAGCAGAAGCTGCTATGCTTCCTGTACAGCCTGCAGAACCATGAGCCAATTAAACCTTTTTTTCTTTATAAATGACCCCATCTCATATATTTCCTTACAGCAAAGAAAGTACAAGCTAATACAAGCCAGTAAAGAGAACCATTAGAATTTTTATGAAACACTTAGAAGAAGTTCAGTAAAGAGAACCATCAGAATTTTTATAAAATACTTGGAAGAAGTTGTGATGAAATAAAAATTTTCCTTCCTCTCTTTAAGTTACATTTAAATCAAAAGGAAAACTATAGCTAAATGGGACTTTAAGCATATAAATTAATATATTACAAAGTCCATCAATAGAAGATAAAGAAACGCATAAAACTAAAATGCAATGGGTAGTGAGGAGTTGATTCTAAAGCAAAATTAAAGCAATTTTTTAATAATTCGGGCTAAAAATGTTCCTTGACTTATTACAATTTTGAGATTATTTGGGCTGCAAATCAAGTAGCCTGAAAAGCAGAGAATATTTTGAAATTATTCAAATAGTTTAGATAAATAATAAATGAGAAAGTTAAATAGTGTTGTCCGATCGCATTATAAAAAGCCTATCAAGAGTTTTGATCATAGTTTATACTATTATTATTGTGTGTTGTTGAATTGCATACATGGATTACAAAAAGAAACAGAAATAATTATCCACCCAATACTTCTCTTTTGTGTGTGTTATTTAAAATCACTAGATCTCAGTTTCTTATCTGCAACATAGTTAAAATAAAGCCCTTTTCTTCATGTTAGAAACAATGCGAGCACTCAGTAAATTGTAGTAATTATCAAAGATGATGGTACTAATAGTAGTAGCAATGAAACAAGAGGTGGTACCAACAGCAACAAAATGTCACCGACACTGCCTCAGAGTATTTAGTCAAATTATTTTATGCATAATCAACGATACAAATCTCTACATGATTAAGTGCTAAAGGGATGGAAAGCTGTAACTTAAAAAAAAGTGTGCTCTCTATGTGACAGCAGCCATAGGAAAATTATACTGGGTTATTGAGGCAGGCTTGTTCCTTTGATTTGGTGTATCTCAAACTATAACATAAATTAAAACATCCCTATTTCAGATGACATGGAAACAGACCTCTTTTTAAATAGCACTTTTATTTTGAACATGTCTGGCTAAAAACAGAAAAGTCAAAATTTAAGATCTTCATTCTTCAACTAAATGCTTGAGGCTGAAGTCTGATATGAAAAATCAAATCTCATATAAAGTTGCTATTGCATATGTTCCTTTAAATCTCAAAACAGAAACATAGTTATATACAATGTAGATAATATGTTCTAGGACACCATAGACTATTGAGAACTTTTAATGATGCAAAAAAAGCATTTTATTATATACCCACCAAGAAAAGACTGACTATTTGCATTCAAAAACAAACCACAACCCTATGTGAAAAACACATTCTGTTATTTATGCTATATATATCTAAGTCTTAAATAAGAACAATAATTACCAAAACTCATAAAAGAGATTCATTTCAAGCAATTTTCTTAAACACATATTTATCAGATGAATGAACTCCTCTAAGGCACTCTCAGTGTGTTAAGGACATGTCATGAATTTTTTAACTACTTAATAATGCATTTGCTTCAGGCGTGACTCAATTTAATAAATCATATAAGTTACAATACATTTTATCACATATTTATGGAAAGAGATATTCCAATTTCTTAAGCACTGCTTTTCTAAGTATTAAGAGGCAGCTTAATATAACCAAGGGACAAAAGAAGGAAAAAAAAAAAAGTCATATACAATGAAAAACTCCAGGGAAATGCATTAAAAACACCTCTAAACCATGAGTTTTTAAGTTCATATGCATGAATATGTCTTTAAATTATATGCAGCTGTTTGTGTGATGAACATCTTAATGAGGAAAGCATCCATAAATTTCATCACATTATCAAATTAGAAATTGGCCGTGAACATTTTTTCTATGTGATGTTGCCGTATCGACTCTCACACTAAACCCAGCAACTTGCCAAGGGTACACATTTGGGATTCAACAGAGGTTATGTGGACAGAGACAAGGAGCATTGGTCAAGAATATAATTACATACACCGGGACATACTTGTGGCAGCAGTCTTCCCAAACACAAAGTCAGAACAATACAAACACTAAACCTGAAAATTCTAGCTCAAAGAAGGCAGACAAGAAATTCAAGTAACCGGAAAATCACAGCCAAAAGCACAGGAAGAAAATGCTAGGGCAGAATTAGTCAGAAACTAAAGTGGAAGCTGAAGATGAGCAGCAGTGACAACATCATGCCTCTTTCTGAGGGATGAAGCAAGGAGTGGTACAACTTGTATTTAGTAAGACTACTTGTATGCAGTTTTCCTAATCATGCTTGGGTGACCACTTTCAAACCCATGTTTTGTAATTCATATATGTCTAACCCAATTATAACAATTTTATTGAATGTCAGAAGACTTAGAATATAACTCTAGTCCCTTATAATAATATGACTATGGCACACTATCTTTTTTTGAAATTATCTAAGAAATGCAAAATATATTATCAATGAGTGCTTGAATTAAAATGAAATGAAGTGTGGTTCAACTAAAGTCTAGTTAGACAGTAAGATGCAAATAAATATAACAATGCCTAGGTTTTTAATTGATTTGTTCACAGTGAGTTTATTAACTTGTTATTATTAGTCCAGTCAGATTTGTTTCCAGGTTACATCACCCAACTCAAACATGACTAACTTATATTTTTCTTTTACTTCTTGACTTTATACATGAATCTGGCAACACTCTGCTGAAATAATCCTATTAGATTCTTAACTATGGCCTAAGTATAAGTGATCAAGTCACTAAGACAAAAGTGACTTCATCTTAAACTATCTAAGGATTTCTGTCAATGTTCACATCATGTTTTGCAAATAAGAACACTTGAAAATTAATTAACCCATTATAAATCAATAGATGGGATAATACTTCCATTTACAGTGTTGGCCTTATAATTTTATTGTTTACTCAGCGTGACAGGAGCATCTTTCCTCAAATAAGGAGATAGGAGATTTTTCACATTGCAAGTTCATTTTTGAGTCTCGGTAGTTTCCTTGGTTCGTTTTTCCTTTAATGATATATGAGTGCAATGGCTAGAGTGGATTGTGCAATGAGGATGGGAAAAACTGATACGGCTCTGACCTCTGTGGATGATTGACTGCAGCAACGAAAGCTAATGACTGTGGAAGCAGCAACCTTTTATTGCTTTTTAAACTTTAGGACATATGTCAGGACAGTAAAAAGCTAACACAATGGGAGCTACAAACATTGCATGCTGTTTTTCTTTCTTTGAGTATTTAACAAGAAAGAATAAACAAGAAAGACACAACAACTACCAAGGTCCCTTTTCTCATTTTGACATTTTGTATATTACTCCAAGGTGAGGAAGCCAGATTACAGAATTTCCATTTTTAAAACAGACCACATGGGAGAAATGGCTTGAGTTACTGGTTACTTACTTCACGTAGCAAGTCATTTCCAAACATTATTTTTCACAAATGTTCTGTAAACAAACATTGATAATTTGTGGAGAGCAACACAAATCTTTCACCTAACATAGTAATATACTCGGACAGTATTTACGGATTTCAAGATGATCACAAATGAGCACAGTTGCTTGTATAACCTTGATTTCTAAAAAAGTTCTGTACTGGGTAAAATACTCTTCTTGAAAAGGCACAGGGGGAACACTGAGGTATAAGGACACCTAGATAATCATCCACATCAGTAATAATCAAGCTTGACAATCTGTGAGGTAATAGATGTGCAGCCATCCTCATGCCTGGAATGTGATCTTAAACATCCAATGGTCTGGGTCAGGAAGACCAGGCCCAGCCAACTTGAGCAGTCTAGAGGGTTATAAAGTATGTATGGTGAAGGAAAGCTAATTGCTGGAAATTCACGCCAATTAAAGTAACATTGAAAACCAGCAGAATCAGGTAGCTGGGTATTTCACTATCAGAAATTGAATCAAATTGAATCATTTGAGAATATAATATATACACAGCACTCTATCATTGTATATAGTATGTACAGCAACACATATGAAGATACAAAATAAATATAATGTGTCATTCCCATTCTCATCAACTGCAAACTAGATGGGGAGACAATCGAGCTGTATGGATCAATTAGAATCCAATGTAAAATAATGCAAATTTAAGTGGAAAATGGTGTATTGACTTGCTATGAGTTTCATCTATTGAAAACATTTTACTGATAAAGTAACTTGGGAATATTGTGAGCTGAGTTGTAAACCAGTGCAAAGTAGGAGTTAGAGAAGAAGGTGGGAAAACAGTAGGTCTTCACTGGAGAAAGAAACTGAGCTTCAAAGAGCAGCATACATTAATCAGTCAAGTAAAACAAACAGGGAAGGCCTGGGAAGAAAGCGATGTTTTTGAGTTGGTAATAAGCTCATGGAGGCTGTTTAGCATTGACGTCTTTGGAGGTTATTATGGGATGAACTGTGTCCTTCTGAAACCCACATGTCAAAGCTCTAAACCTACTGCCTCAAAATGTAACTGTGTTTGGAGACAGAATCTTTAAAGAGAAATTAAGTTAAAATTAGGTCATTAGGGTGGAAATTAATCCAGTCTGACTGGCATCCTTATAAGAAGAGGAAATTTATACACGTAAAAAGAGATACTGGGGTGCACATGCACGGAGGCAGGACCATGGGGAGAGGCAGAAGAGTGGGGGTCTGCAAGCCAAGAAGACAGGCTCAGAGGGCACCAGTGCTGCCAGCACCCTGATCATAAACTTCCGGGACCCAGACCATGAGAAAATACATTTCATTCATTTAAGCCACCCAGTCTCTGGAATTTTCTTACAGCAGCTCTAGCAAACAAATCACATAGAGGTGAAGAGTGTAGTACGTGAAAACAGCTTTGAGAACATAAACTTTTGTCTACAATGATAGGAGGTATGCATTAGGAGAACTCACTTATTTTTCCATCATCAAATTATCATCTTATTCTTGAACTCTCTTATGCCACCCTCAACTCCTGATAGCGTTGATTATCGAGAATTATTCTTAGTGAGGAATTCTAACACAGTAACTATGTATGGATTTCCCATATTCAAGAAAGATAAATGTACTATTAAAAAAAACCCACCTCACTATAAACAGAGAAATACGTGGCCCTCTGACCTGTAGAGTAATAAAATCTGTGCCACCATCAGCAAATGACAGACACTTTTAAAAGTCCCTTTGGTTAGACTCCTATCCTTTAATAGTCTTGTTATTCAGGGTAAAGATTGCATCTGATATGGGCTATTTTGATAGTTGCTTTAATTCTATACCTCGCTCTCATAATAGAAAATTGTATTATGCTGGGATAAATACTTTTAAAAAATGTTATCCATCAGTTTCACTAATGTTTGGGACAGGTAGCATTCAGTAATGCTTTCCCTTTCTTTTTTTTTCTTTTTTTTTTTTTTGGTGAGGTTGATTACATGTAGCAGCCTATAATAGAATGTGATTTTCTAATTAAAAAAAAGAATTTTAACATCTCTCACATTCTCAAAAGAATACCTCCAAGAACAGAAACCTGGGCTTTATCAATCTTTTTACTGACATTTTTAGGAGGAATGTGATGTAAGTCATTTCAATTCTTTGGGGATCTGCATTCTTATTTAAAATGTCTGTGAATAAACTGTTGTCCTTCATTGTTAAGAGGATCTAAGACACTAAGGCTCTACTAGTTTCAAATCCAAGTTTAAAAAAATGAAAATCTGATTACATCAGTCTCACTTAAAACACTTTGTTGTATCCTCCTAGTTTTTAGAATCGATTCCAAATTTCTTTATATATTTGATGAACGGCATAATTCAATCTCTGCATAATTTTCCAATCTCTGATGAAACTGCATAATTCAATCTCTGCATAATTTTTATCTCACTTCATGGCACCAATCTTCATCTCCCCTATATAATGACCTCAATGTATACATTCAACTAACTACAAAGTTCTTTCAGGTCCTAGATTACACTTCATTGTTTCATCTATGGACCTCCATATGTGCTATTTCATCTGTCCAAGTACCCTAATGTATCACCATCCCTTACTTGGCCTAGCCAACTCCAATTCATGCTTGGTATACCAGCTTATAATTTGCCACTCCTAGAAACCACCCTAGACAGATCAAGTCTGAAAATTTGATCTACCTCTTTAATGAGTTCTGTAGTTATGCAAAAACAAATAAATTTCTGCCTTCTATGAGCTGTGTAGTAGAGAAAGTAACAAGTTCCAATGCTCTCTCTCTTCTTCTCTGAGAATACACAATGGTTCCCAGAGCCAGAAAACTGTATTGGCCCTTAATGAATTTAATACAATCCTTTCTCCTCATACCTCAATTTATCCTGATATGGAACTTCTAAGAGCAACTGGAATTCAAAGGCTAAAAGACCATGGGTTCTATCCCAGTTTGTCATGGTTCTGCAGAAGTGGAAGGTGGCTTCAGTTTCTAGTCTACCACTAAAACATTCGATGGTCATTCAGACTTTGATAAGCTGTTCAATTTTTACCAGTTTCATTTATTAGCATTAGATATATTTTATTTAATCTTATCTATTCACATATAGATTTTTTTTTTTTTTTGAGACAGTCTTCCTCTGTCACCCAGGCTTGAGTGCAGTGGCACAATCTCCGCTAATTGCAACCTCCACCTCTTGGGTTCAAGCGATTCTCATGCCTCAGCCTCCCGAGCAGCTGGGATCACAAGCACGCACTACCATGTCCAGCTAATTTTTGTAATCTTAGTAGAGATGCAGTTTCACCATGTTGGCCAGGCTGGTCTCAAACTCCTGGCCTCAAGCGAACTGCCCACCTCAGCCTCCCAATGTGCTGGGATTAGAGGTATGAGCCACCGCACCCAGCCTATTCACATATACTTTTTAAATAAATAGAAATAATATAAATGACAAAGGAAAATTCAATATAAATATGCAAATCATAACAATAACTTTAGTTTCTTATACTGGCAAAGAAAAAATAATATGACTATTTTGAAGGTAATGGATTCTTTCAAATAAAACTGAAGGAAATCTTTACACAAAGATCTTCATAGAAAGAAAAAATAATGTTTTCACCATACTGAAAAACTCATTTAATGATGACTATGAATATAAAGAATTAATCTGTCTAAAACAATGCATTTATATGCAATTTTAAAAAATTCATTGTAATTTAAATCACAGACACTGAAATTAAAATACAAACTATATTAAATACAGTCCGATCTATAAACTATAATATCTTGCTCATCTAATCATCTGTCCTGAATCCAATATTATTGTGAAGATAATATCCTATATAAATTATATTCACTTGGTTTTGCATGTTTTCCACTTATGCTCTTAAAAATATTAGTTATATATATGTGATATTAAGAGGATGAGTGTAATTATGTATACACGTTTTAATGAAAGCATACATCTTTATTTGTGAAATATAAGAATTAAAAAATGAAAAAGTAAGAACTCTAAAATGCAGTTCAACAATTTATGTTAAGGCTGATATTTTAGAGAGTTTTCTATTAATATGATATCAAAGTGAACATATCTACTTAAAAGAAACTAGTTATAGACAATAAAACCCAGCACAGCTTATTAAAACTAAAGGTCACCAACGACTAGAGCCTCAGTAGGTTTTACTAATTCCACAGCTGTGCCAGTTAATTTCAGGCTTTGCGGGGGGAAGAAAACAAAATAATCAAAAAAAAAGCATAAAAATACGAGACTTTGAATTGATTTCCCATCGACAACAGAGAATAAGTAAATTGAAGATGACGTTATTATATCAGCAAATAGTTGTGCCTAAAAGGGACCTTAATGACCATAAGAACCAACTCTTTATTATACAGATGAGAAGATGAGAACTTATTTGTCCTGGAAAATACAAGTGGTTACTGAGAGAACACAGGCCCCAGTCTTCTAGGTCAATAGTATATCTCCTTAGAATGCTGAGGTTCTGGTAACAAACAAATCATCATATCAGCTGACTCTTTAATTCCCCAAGATCTACTTACACTGAGCAAGGCAAACAAAGAAGTGAACTGGAAATACCGTAAAGACATTGTCTTTTCCTCATCTATCCACCCCCACAACTCATCTTGTACTTTTCTCCCATTGATTTGGAGAAATGGGATAAATATTTTTAATATGTTATTTCTCTTCTCAGTTTAATGAAATGAATCTTGGACAAATTATTTATATATTTATAATTATAATAAATGCTTATTTATATGTGCTAAAATAACACTATTATAAACATCTTTTTTATTTTATATTTATGTTATGGATATTGGTACCTCAGATGTATAAATTTGGAAACTGTACTTTAAAGAACTTAGCTGATGACGATTATAGAGTTATTCAGATGAGGACCCAGGTCTCAAATCCAGATTCGTCTGACACCAACTCATGTGCTGTGAGCCATTTCACATACTACTTCAAAATCCTTTCCTTCTACATCTGGTATTTACTCAGTGTATTCTCATATATCCTTGAATGTGCACTGTTTTAGCTACCATAAGATAGAATGATCTCAGATTGTGATCACTCTCTATGGGTGCTATACTGCTTACACAATCAGTGTCCAGTAGTAAGGACTTCATATTTATTGGAGTCATAAGAAAGCACAGATATAAGTCCTGTTGTTAATCATCATTCTACCAGTGTATATCCAAGCCTTGGAAGACTTTGGATTAGTTAAATATGTTCAAGTAGTGCATACTATCCAAAAATGATTATGTTGATAAGTCATGCATTTGATTTCCACTGTGTTCCAAAAGTAGTACCTTCATGTGGTTCTTAAAACCTATATGCATTAGCCTTCTTGACAGCTCTGCATTTTTCCATATTCCTTCTCCTGCTTTTAATGCCAAGATTTTTATCTAATAGTCTCCATACACCAATACTAGGATCTCTGTCAGTCATAATGAAAAAGTGCAATATTCTTATGTGTAGGTTACCAGTTAGGGAAAAGTTAACTAGTACAAGATGACGGTGAGGATGGAGTCCATAATGCTGAGACTTCACCCTGGATGTCAGAGAGAGTGATGTGATCTCTCTTAATTCAAACTTCTTCACTAAAATGAGGCACATAGATCCCAATTTTTAGTGAGGTCTAGATAGTTTTGGCATTCAGTTTAATGTGTTTCTATAAACTTTCTACATGGTGTGAAACTTTAGCATATGAGTAATGGTATTTAGCCTTTAAACAAATTATCTCATTAACTAAATGTAAACAGAGGCTTTGAGGGGGGCAAAATTCATTTCTCTCTCAACGTTAAACTTGAGTATTGAAGGGAAAATTGGTATGCTGAGAAAAATAGTAGAAAAATAAAAATCATTTAAGAAATGGCCAGTATCCCTGTTTACATCAAGTGGAGCAAAAAGGGCAATAAAAAAAAGAGCAAGATGGTCTGATTGTTAATTCCTATTGCAGAGAGACTTAGAGAAAGCCTGTTGACTCATGAAGATACAGCTGTAGAAAGAACACATGCAACGTGTCATCAACAGAAATGCCATCTCTCGTTTGGCAGAAAATACCAGTTGGTTAACATATAATTATTATTGACTAAAAATATCCCAGTGGTAATTATCTCAGCTTAGCTTTATTTCGTTGGATGATTATATTTCAGCATGGTGTTTGTGTGTAGTCAACAAGCATTTCTGGGCACATAAACACAAACTGTGAAGAGTTGCCTTTTTCCTATTTCCAACTCAAGTGCTGTTTCTTCATTCAAGTTACAACAAATAATACTTGAGTATCTCTCTACAAGGGGATAGTCACTGTAATAAGAGCTGACGAGGCAAAAATCATACAATGTAATGTAGGGCTGGGTCCAGCAAATAACCTTGTTGTATATAGAACTACTTTGTCCATCTCTAACAAAGAAATACCCAAGTTCTTCCTAATGCCCTCACGATCCTGCCTATGAGGAATAAAATATCAATGAGCCTTAACGTAATAACTCAGTTTCAGGGAAGAGTAGAGAGTATTTTACAACAAATGGGAATGCTAAATAATGAATTAATAATTATAGAGAAGCCAGGTTGAATAATTCTATAAATTGATATATTTACCAAATAAGTAATCACAAAGAGGCTCTAAGATAAATAATCATAAACTGAATACTACTCTTTTGTGAGTATGTTCTCAAGAGTTTCCCAAATGCCTCACGCATTAGGTTGAGCCACTCTAGAATGCACGTGTTGTTTTGCTGCTAGTGGGTGTTATAATTCATGGGCATTACTCTAACGGGACTCTTCTCACCATCCAGCCACTTAAAATTCTTTGGGTGACAAACACACTTGACTTCATAACATTAGGTTCAACAAGGTTATTATTTAGTTCATTACATCGGTTACTTATTCATTAAAAAATGGAAATCCAAGTATCAGGCTCATGTGAGAGGTAGCAGAAAATCTAACAAAATAGCAATGATTCCTTCTCAGAGTGTTTAGGGGCAAACAAAATTAAACAAATTAATATACAAGTAATAATTAACTTTTATAAAAGCCAACAAGTTATGTTGCTTGCCATTAACTGAGACGTAGTAAGCCACATGTAGTTCAAATTGAAATGAAGTAGAATGAGTATGAGTGTGTGTGTGTGTGTGTGTGTTTGTGTGTGTGTGTGTTTAGTAAAAGCATAAAAGCACCTAACTGCAGGCAGAGGGAATGTTGCAGCTGTGTGCACTTTGTTTGTTCTGTCAACATTTTAAAAGCTGATGTCATTAAGCTTATAGGAGTCAAGGAATCATAGAATACATTCTTTACCAAGATAATGGGAGTGGTTTTGATTGCAAAAGCAGCAAAGGAGAAAAGAATAGTTCAATATCAGTCATATGATTTGGTAAAGGAAAGTTGGAGAAGTTATATGTATTTTCCCTTAAAGAGGCTAAAAACTTGTGTGTTTTATTACTTTTGCTGTGATTCCAGGCAGCTCTTGAACCAAGCTTAACCTTCAAAGTTAAAAGAATAGCGTTTAAAGTTTCTATAATAGCCAGATTACATATCATGTGTATTTTTTGGACTATTGTTGCAATCCTTTTAATTAACAGGATTGTAGAAGCCACATTCATTGGAAATTCTTTGTGGAATGTAAACTAAAATCTCATTAAATTACTTCCTCTCCAGAATGCACTGAGCACTGAATATGAGCAAGATGCTGTGAAATGCACACTATTTTTGTCATCAAGGGGTTTATAGTCTAGTAGGAGAAAAAAACAACATAATCAGGAAAGTTAATATAGCATTTTAGATGTTGTGATACAAGTTCACTCACAATTCTTTTGCAAATATAAAGAAAAAGCAAGCAGAGCTAGTTGAATCACCCTAGAGGGCCAGGAAGTATTTGTCCAAGCAGCATTCCAAATCCATCCCTCTTCTATCTCCACTGCTACAACTCTGGTGGGAACCACCTACATCTCTCACCTGACTTACTATAATCATGCCCTGCTAACCAGCCCAAGGCTCCTACCCTTGATCTCTGACAATCTTCTGCAGCCAGGTGGCTCTCCTGCAAGAGGAATCAGTTTCATCTAATTCTCCTATATTTAAGCTTCTCAGCACGCGTAGAATAAAATCCAATTTCCACCTTATGTCATAAAAGCCTTTAAATAACATGGCACCTATCTACCTCTTTGACTTTATCTCAAAATACCCTTCTAGTTTACTCAAGATACCCTACAAATCAAAATCTTATATTCAGTTTTTTACATTTGCTGAGTAGACTACATGCATTCCCACCTCACGGGGTTTACATTTTCAATCGCTTCTTCTGAGAATGAAAAAGTGATGTGACCTATAATTTGGCTTTCATAGAAACTTTACGTCATATATATTTTTTAACCTTTGAAGGTGAAGCATAATATTTGCACATGTGTAGGTGCTTTCTGTAAGTTAGCTGTCAGGGCAATGTCACTTGGTCACCAGAGAAGTTGTCCCTGACCTCCCAGTGCACATTTACCATTGTCACATCTACTTTTTTTTCTCTGTTTACAGCACTTATCAACATATTGTTGATTTAATTGTGTATTGCCTGTTTATTACCATCAATTATAACGTGAGCTCCAGTAAATTATAATGTGAGCTTCATTAGCTCATCATATTTACCTTTAGCCACTGACCCAGGGCTTGTATTTTACCTATGACCTATAAAAGCACAATAACCAAGTGAAACATGGCTATGACTCCTAAATCTAATGAATAAAAACATTACATACCCAATTAAGTTTGAATTTCAGATAAACAATAACATTATTTTAAAATAAGAATGTACCAATTGCATAAAATATACTTCAATGTGACTGGGATCTTTACTTTCTTTAGACTGGGATTCAAATATATCAATTATAAACAGAATTGTAGGAGAGTTAGGAATTTTAAAAAACTAAAACAGAGTTCAAAGGAAATCCTGCTACTTTGCTTTGATATGATAATAATAGTTTGGTTATGAGGACAATATCTTAATTTTTTTCCAGATGCCTACTGAGAAATTTATAGTAAATCTCTGTAATTTCTTTTCAATTGTTAAAGGAAAACTAAAACTAAAAATAAGTTGTTGTAGCAACTAAGGCCAGATGTTAACATGTTGTTTGAAGCTAAAAGCTCTGAAACAGAGGGAGAAACACGCTAAGGATTCTCTTGCCCCCTCACCCCCATCTCCATTGGAGCCTTCTATTGCTAGAAACAAGTGTGGGGGTGGTGCTGAAAAACACAGGTGAAGGGGTCAGCCTCCCCCTCCTCAGAGCACAGAAGGGCCAGGCAAAGGAGGAAAATGTTCATAAGCACCACAGACCCAGGACCTGCAGAGATCTCATCTCATCCCTCTCTACTTCATCATATGTTGAAATTTTTCATTCAAAACGGAAAAGAAAGATACATACTGACATATCTTAAGATATATATGTTTAGCTCCACAGCTGAATTTAGCACTCTTTAAAGGGAGGCATTTTGCCCTTCATATTTTAATATTCTTACAGTTTTTTTTTTTTTTACTGAGTACTTAAAAAGTAATGAACAAATATGTACTGATTATTATAAACATATTGCAGCATGAATTTATTAAAGGGTAACAATATATGTCACCCCCGAAATATGCCACTTTGGCATAAGGATTATTGTGAGAGGAATGAAATTGAGAAGCAGCATATTTAAGGAAAACCTCTGTCCTTCCTCTTTGCCAAAGAAGAGACAGATGTGTAACAGCGCCCCCCTCCTCTCTCTACCAGGAAGGATAGAAGCTAATCTCTTGAGACAACTTTAGACCCTTATCAACTTGAGATAGCAGCAGAGGAATCAACAAAAGAAACTTTATTAACTGACCATTATCTATGGTTAGTTTCCTTACATATTTGCCTTCCCACAACATGCTGCCCCTAGAAGCTCAAAATCCTTTTCTTTTGTCTTGTCATTTCCCTACACAACAATGATTGTTTTGCTAAGATGCTTTATAAGCTTAGGTTCTAACCATCATCACTCATCACTGAGTGCTCGCATCACTGAGTGCTCTCACAGGTAAGAGTGATGCATGTGTCAATAAAGTTCTGTTTATTTTTCTCTTGTTAATCTGCCTTTTCTCTGTCTAGAGCCCTGATGAACCTAATATGGATACAAGATAAAGAAAATTTTCCCTCCCCTATACTCTTTTTATAACACAGAATATTTTAGTTTGACTTGGGGCAGAGGAAACAAAGTTTGCTTATCTTGTTCACTTGATCCTTTTCATTAATAGTATTTTAATTACTCTTTCCTCCTTTATAAAGTTTGTCTAATAAAATTAATTTTCTAGGAGATTTATGAGTGATTAATATAAGGTATATAAATTGCCTAAACACCAATTATTCCACAGAATTAAAACACTTAAAAATAAATTTAATAAATCCTAATATTCAGCCTTTCCTATATGGCCAACTTTGCTCCCAAGTGGTATAGTCATAGAATATCATTACAGTCCATTTGCTTGTCTTTCGGAAATTTTGTTTACCAAAGAGGAAAATGTATATCATACCTTATGTAGGAGTGGAAAGATGTGATACCTTTCCTCACCCATGATAAGAATCACAGTCATACTCTTATAGCAAAAGACAGATTAGGAAGATAAAAGCTTACCAAATTTTTCAAATCAAAGTTTTATGTGACAGGGAAGCTGTCAGAAATAAAAACTCAAAGACTCAGGAAAAATTGCATTTATGCTTTGGTTTAGTGAAGAATGGACAGCTCTATAGAAATCTGATTAAACAGGCTGGGCGTGGTGGTTCATGCTTATAATCCCAGCACTTTGGGAAGCTGAGGCAGGAGGATTACCTGATGTCAGGAGTTCAAGAACAGCCTGGCCAACATGGTAAAACCCCAGCTCTACTAAAAACACAAAAAATTAGCCGAGCATGGTGGCGGGCGCCTGTAATCCCAGCTACTCAGGAGGCTGGGGCAGGAGAATTGTTTGAACCCAGGAGGCAGAGGTTGCAGTGAGGCAAGATTGTGCCACTGCACTCCAGCCTGGGCGACAAGAGCGAAACTCTGTCTTGATTTAAAAAAAAAAAAAAAAGAAAGACAGAAATATGATTGAACAAAAGGGATTGGTCTAACGGTGATCGACTGAAGAAGGACTCAGTGAGGCCTCTCTTCAGATTCATCTTGGCCTCTCTGTATAGCACTCCTTCCTCCCAGGTATGGGGCAGGACCCCTCCGGAATGAGGATCCTCAAGGGAGACAAGAAAATGGAGAAAGTGACTGTATTAGTCCGTTTTCATGTTGCTGATAAAGACATAACTGAGAATGGGGAGAACAAGAGGTTTAATTGGACTTACAGTTACAGACGGCTGGGGAGATCTCAGAATAATGGCAGGAGGTGAAAGGCACTTCTTACATGGTGGCAGCAAGATAAAATGAGAAAGATGCAAAACAAAAATCCCTGATGAACCTATCAGATCTTATGAGACTTATTCACTACCACAAGAATAGTATGGGGGAAACCACCACCAGGATTCAAATTATCTCCCACTGGGTCCCTCCCACAATATGTGGGAATTACGGGAGTAAAATTCAAGATGAGATTTGGGTGGAGAAAAGAGCCAAACCATACCAGTGACCTTTCTATGTTTCACCACTTGCTTTGGGGCAGAAGAGTTGCAGGTTCTTCTTTTCTTCTTTCTTCCTTCTTCTCTTCTTCTTCTTCTTCTTCTTCTTCTTTCTTCTTTCTTTTTCTTCTTCTTCCTCTTCTTCTTCCTTCTTCTTCTTCTTCCTTCTTCTTCTTCCTTCTTTCTTCTTCCTCTTCTTCTTCCTTCACTTCTTCTTCCTCCTTCTTCCTTTTCCTCCTCTTCCTCTTCTTCTTCTTCTTCCTCTTCTTCTTCCTTCTTCTTCTTTCTTCTTCTTCCTCTTCTTCCTTCTTCTTCTTCTTTTCCTCTTCTTCTTCTTCTTCCTTCTTCTTCCTTCTTCTTCCTTCTTCTTCTTCCTCCTCTTCTTCTTCTCCTTCTTCTTCTTCTTCTTCTCCTTCTCCTTCTTCTGCTTCTGCTTCTGCTTTTCTGAGACAGGATCTTGCTCTGTTATCTAGGCTGGAGTGCAGTCATGTGATCATAGCTCACTGCAGCCTTGAACTCCTAGTCTCCAGTGATCTTCCCATCTTGACCTCCCCAAGTTCTGGGATTACAGGTGTGAGCCAACCTGCCTGGACTGGGTTCTAGTTTTTATGCCTCACCTTGCATAAGAGGAACTCTGGTTTCTATGACTTTCTTTGAGGGAGAAAGAGGAGCAGAAGACAGGAGAGCAGGAGATGGGAGAAAGATTTTATATCTGAGGTGACTTCAATCTCTTTTAGTTTAAACTGCTCAGCATGCCAAAGCAACATACTTTGGGGTATTGTTTTCTGAATGCCAACACTTACATAAGCATGCAGGCAGTATTCTAATTAGGTTTGTCTATTGGTTAGACAGATACTTTATATTTGGTTATTTCTTATGATCTATTGGTTTCTTTGGATTAAGTTTTTAAAAAGATACAGCAGTCTTTCAGCAAAGTAGCTCTACATTGCTGAGAAATAATCTCAACTAACTTTTTGTAGCTAATGCAAGAATCAAATGTTGGAACAAGAAAGAAAGAGTAATCTATTTTATTATGCTCAAAATCATTATTATATAAGAGATACACATTAAAAATCAAATTATTAAATATATTTAAATGCATAAGAAACACATTATAAATCAAATTATTAAATATATTTAAATGAATATGAATTGACCATGGTGTGCAAAACAGAGGTATCCACAGACAATTGGTGAGTAAAAATTAGGACATTTCTCAGGAAGACTAGCTTAGCAAAGTCTGAAATGGCAGAAAACCAGATAAAACTAATTTATGCAAAAGAGGATTTCTGGGTCATCTAACTGAATTTGTAAAAATCCCACTTCTATTAGTCCATTTTCATGCTGCTGATAAAGGCATACCCAAGACTGGGCAATTTACAAAAGTAAGAGGTTTAATGCATGCACAGTTCCACATGGCTGGGGAGGACTCACAATCATGGCAGAAAGTGAAAGGCATGTCTCACATGGTGGCAGACAAGAGAAGAGAGCTTGTGCAGGGAAACTCCCCTGTATAAAACCATCATATCTTGTGAGACTTATTCACTATCATGAGAACAGCATCGGAAAGACCTGCCCCCACAACTTAATTACTTCCCACCAGGAACCTCCCACAACACACGGGGATTCAAGATGAGATTTGGGTGGGTACACAGCCAAACCACATCATCACTCAATATTCAGTGTGATTCTTTAATCTGAAAACTCAGGCTATTTACCCATTGTGGAAAACTGTAACCCATTATCTTTGATAGTGTTCCTTCTAGATTCTTTTCTGGAACACTTCTTGAAGATAATGAGAAATTGAAAAATCATAAGGAGTTGTCTAAGTATGGCACCCCCTGTGCAGAAATTACTAAATGCTGCTTCAAAAATGCTGTGGCAGAGTAGGAGAGACAGACCCCAGCGTTCTCTGACTTCCCTCCTGCCCCACAATTGGTTGCTATTATGTATTTTCACAAATATCCATCCTCAGCATTTTGTGTCTTTATTATCTTCAGTTTTTCCATCACTTCCTCTAGCCTTTTTAAAAAGAATAATTGAATGGTGGGAACAAATGTAAATGGAAAGTGGCAATAAGGGAAAAACTATTCCAGCTCTTTTTTTATACATCCAACTCAAGCTCTGCCTGACAGCAAAATGTCCCTACTTTTACCTCATACCTCTCCTTCATTAAAAGCAATTTTCTAGGAAGAGACCTATTTTCTTAGCTAGACACAGAGATAGCACTGGAAAGAGACTATTAGAAGATGGCCGAATAGGAACAGCTCCAGTCTACAGCTCCCAGGGTGAGAGATGCAGAAGACCAGTGATTTCTGCATTTCCATCTGAGGTACCAGGTTCATCTCAATAGGAAGTGCCAGACAGTGGGTGCAGGTCAGTGGGTGCGCGCACTGTGCGCGAGCCGAAGCAGGGCGAGGCATTGCCTCACTCAGGAAGTGCAAGGGGTCAGGGAGTTCCCTTTCCTAGTCAAAGAAAGGGGTGACAGACGGCACCTGGAAAATCAGGTCACTCCCACCCTAATACTGCACTTTTCCAAAGGGCTTAAAAAACAGCACACCAGGAGATTATATCCCGCACATGGCTCAGAGGGTCCTATGCCCACAGAGTCTCGCTGATTGATAGCACAGCAGTCTGAGATCAAACTGCAAGGTGGCAGTGAGGCTGGGGGAGGGGCGCCCGCCATTGCCCAGGCTTGCTTAGGTAAACAAAGCAGCCGGGAAGCTCCAACTGAACTGGGTGGAGCCCACCACAGCTCAAGGAGGCCTGCCTGCCTCTGTAGGCTCCACCTCTGGGGGCAGGGCACAGACAAACAAAAAGACAGCAGTAACCTCTGCAGACGTAAATGTCCCTGTCTGACAGCTTTGAAGAGAGCAGTGGTTCTCCCAGCACGCAGCTGGAGATCTGAGAACGGGCAGACTGCCTCCTCAAGTGGGTCCCTGACCCCTGACCCCCGAGAAGCCTAACTGGGAGGCACCCCCCAGCAGGGGCAGACTGACACTTCACAGGGCCGGGTACTCCAACAGACCTGCAGCTGAGGGTTGTGTCTGTTAAAAGGAAAACTAACAAACAGAAAGGACATCCACACCAAAAACCCACCTGTAGATCACCATCATCAAAGACCAAAAGTAGATAAAACCACAAAGATGGGGAAAAACCAGAGCAGAAAAACTGGAAACTCTAAAAAGCAGAGCGTCTCTCCTCCTCCAAAGGAACGCAGTTCCTCACCAGCAATGGAACAAAGCTGGACGGAGAATGACTTTGACAAGCTGAGAGAAGAAGGCTTCAGACGATCAAATTTCTCCGAGCTATGGGAGGACATTCAAAGCAGAGGCAAAGAAGTTGAAAACTTTGAAAAAAATTTAGAAGAATGTATAACTAGAATAACCAATACAGAGAAGTGCTTAAAGGAGCTGATGGAGCTGAAAACCAAGGCTGGAGAACTACGTGAAGAGTGCAGAAGCCTCAGGAGCCGACGCGATCAACTGGAAGAAAGGGTATTAGTGATGGAAGATGAAATGAATGAAATGAAGTGAGAAGGGAAGCTTAGAGAAAAAAGAATAAAAAGATACGAGCAAAGCCTCCAAGAAATATGGGACTAAGGGAAAAGACCAAATCTACGACTGATTGGTGTACGTGAAAGTGACGGGGAGAATGGAACCAAGTTGGAAAATACTCTGCAGGATATTATCCAGGAGAATTTCCCCAATTTAGCAAGGCAGGCCAACATTCAGATTCAGGAAATACAGAGAATGCCACAAAGATACTCCACGAGAAGAGCAACTCTAAGACACATAATTGTCAGATTCACCAAAGTTGAAATGAAGGAAAAAATGTTAAGGGCAGCCAGAGAGAAAGGTCAGGTTACCCTCAAAGGGAAGCCCATCAGACTAACAGCGGATCTCTAGGCAGAAACTCTACAAGCCAGAAGAGAGTGGGGGCCAATATTCAACATTCCTAAAGAAAAGAATTTTCAACCCAGAATTTCATATCAAGCCAAACTAAGCTTCATAAGTGAAGGAGAAATAAAATACTTTGCGGACAAGCAAATGCTGAGAGATTTTGTCACCACCAGGCCTGCCCTAAAAGAGCTCCTGAAGGAAGCACTAAACATGGAAAGGAACAACTGGTACCAGCCACTGCAAAATCATGCCAAAATGTAAAGACCATCGAGACTAGGAAGAAACTGCATCAACTAACGAGCAAAATAACCAGCTAACATCATAATGACAGGATCAAATTCACACATAACAATATTAACTTTAAATGTAAATGGACTAAATGCTCCAATTAAAAGACACAGACTGGCAAACTGGATAAAGAGTCAAGACCTATCAGTGTGCTGTATTCAGGAAACCCATCTCACATGCAGAGACACACATAGGCTCAAAACCAAAGGATGGAAGAAGATCTACCAAGCAAATGGAAAACAAAAAAAGGCAGGGGCTGCAATCCTAGTCTCTGATAAAACATACTTTAAACCAACAAAGATCAAAAGAGACAAAGAAGGCCATTAAATAATGGTAAAGGGATCAATTCAACAAGAAGAGCTAACTATCCTAAATATATATGCACCCAATACAGGAGCACCCATGTTCATAAAGCAAGTCCTGAGTGACCTACAAAGAGACTTAGACTCCCACACATTAATAATGAGAGACTTTAACACCCCACTGTCAACATTAGACAGATCAACGAGACAGAAAGTCAACAAGGATACCAAGGAATTGAACTCAACTCTGCACCAAGTGGACCTAATAGACATCTACAGAACTCTCCACCCCAAATGAACAGAATATATATTTTTTCAGCACCACACCACACCGATTCCAAAATTGACCACATACTTGGAAGTAAAGCTCTCCACAGCAAATGTAAAAGAACAGAAATTATAACAAACTATCTCTCAGACCACAGTGCAATCAAACTAGAACTCAGGATTAAGAATCTCACTCAAAACCGCTCAACTCCATGGAAACTGAAGAACCTGCTCCTGAATGACTACTGGGTACATAATGAAATGAAGGCAGAAATAAAGATGTTCTTTGAAACCAACGAGAACAAATACACAACATACCAGAATCTCTGGGACGCATTCAAAGCAGTGTGTAGAGGGAAATTTATAGCACTAAATGCCCACAAGACAAAGCAGGAAAGATCCAAAATTGACACCCTGACATCACAATTAAAAGAACTAGAAAAGCAAGAGCAAACACATTCAAAAGCTAGCAGAAGGCAAGAAATAACTAAAATCAGAGCAGAACTGAAGGAAATAGAGACACAAAAAACCCTTCAAAAAATCAATGAATCCAGGAGCTGGTTTTTTGAAAGGATCAACAAAATTGACAGACCGCTAGCAAGACTAATAAACAAAAAAAGAGAGAAGAATCAAATAGTCGCAATAAAAAATGATAAAGGGGATATCACCACCGATCCCACAGAAATACAAACTACCATCAGAGAATACTACAAACAACTCTACACAAATAAACTAGAAAATCTAGAAGAAATAGATAAATTCCTCGACACATACACTCTCCCAAGACTAAACCAGGAAGAAGCTGAATCTCTGAATAGACCAATAACAGGATCTGAAATTGTGGCAATAATCAATAGCTTACCTACCAAAAAAAGTCCAGGACCAGATGGATTCACAGCTGAATTCTACCAGAGGTACAAGGAGGAACTGGTACCATTCCTTCTGAAACTATTCCAATCAATAGAAAAAGAGGGAATCCTCCCTAACTCATTTTATGAGGCCAGCATCATCCTGATACCAAAGCCGGGCAGAGAAACAACCAAAAAAGAGAATGTTAGACCAATATCCTTGATGAACATTGATGCAAAAATCCTCAATAAAATAGTGGCAAACCAAATCCAGCAGCACATCAAAAAGCTTATCCACCATGATCAAGTGGGCTTCATCCCTGGGATGCAAGGCTGGTTCAATATATGCAAATCAATAAAAGTAATCCAGCATATAAACAGAACCAAAGACAAAAACCACATGATTATCTCAATAGATGCAGAAAAGGCCTTTGACAAAATTCAACAACGCTTCATGCTAAAAATCTCAATAAATTAGGGATTGATGGGATGTATTTGAAAATAATAAGAGCTATCTATGACAAACCCACAGCCAATATCATACTGAATGGGCAAAAACTGGAAGCATTCCCTTTGAAAACTGACACAAGACAGGGATGTCCTCTCTCACCACTCCTATTCAACATAGTGTTGGAAGTTCTGGCCAGGGCAATTAGGCAGGAGAAGGAAATAAAGGGTATTCAATTAGGAAAAGAGGAAGTCAAATTGTCCCTGTTTGCAGATGACATGATTCTATATCTAGAAAACCCCATTGTCTCAGCCCAAAATCTCCTTAAGCTGATAAGCAACTTAGCAAAGTCTCAGGACACAAAATCAATGTACAAAAATCACAAGCATTCTTATACACCAACAACAGACAAACAGAGAGCCAAATCATGAGTGAACTCCCATTCACAATTGCTTCAAAGAGAATAAAATACCTAGGAATCCAACTTACAAGGGATGTGAAGGACCTCTTCAAGGAGAACTACAAACCACTGCTCGATGAAATAAAAGAGGATACAAACAAATGGAAGGACATTCCATGCTCATGGGTAGGAAGAATCAATAGCGTGAAAATGGCCATACTGCCCAAGGTAATTTACAGATTCAATGCCATCCCCATCAAGCTACCAATTACTTTCTTCACAGAATTGGAAAAAACTACTTTAAAGTTCATATGGAACCAAAAAACAGCCCGCATCGCCAAGTCAATCCTAAGCCAAAAGAACAAAGCTGGAGGCATCACACTACCTGACTTCAAACTATACTACAAGGCTACAGTAACCAAAACAGCATGGTACTGGTACCAAAACAGAGATATAGACCAATGGAACAGAACAGAGCCCTCAGAAATAATGCCACATATCTGCAACTATCTGATCTTTGACAAACCTGACAAAAACAAGCAATGGGGAAAGGATTCCCTATTTAATAAATGGTGCTGGGAAAACTGGCTAGCCATATGTAGAAAGCTGAAACTGGATCCCTTCCTTACACCTTATACAAAAATCAATTCAAGATGGATTAAAGACTTAAACGATAAACCTAAAACCATAAAAACCCTAGAAGAAAACCTAGGCATTACCATTCAGGACATAGGCATGGGCAAGGACTTCATGTCTAAAATACCAAAAGCAATGGCAACAAAAGACAAAATTGACAAATGGGATCTAATTAAACTAAAGAGCTTCTTCACAGCAAAAGAAACTACCATCAGAGTGAACAGGCAACCTACAGAATGGGAGGAAATTTTTGCAATCTACTCATCTGACAAAGGGTTAATATCCAGAATGTACAATGAACTTAAACAAATTTACAAGAAAAAAACAAACAACCCCATCAAAAAGTGGGTGAAGGACATGAACAGACACTTCTCAAAACAAGACATTTATGCAGCCAAAAAACACATGAAAAAATGCTCACCATCACTGGCCATCAGAGAAATGCAAATCAAAACCACAATGAGATACCATCTCACACCAGTTAGAATGGCAATCATTAAAAAGTCAGGAAACAACAGGTGCTGGAGAGGATGTGGAGAAATACGAACACTTTTACACTGTTGGTGGGACTGTAAACTAGTTCAACCATTGTGGAAGTCAGTGTGGCGACTCCTCCAGGATCTAGAACTAGAAATACCATTTGACCCAGCAATCCCATTACTGGGTATATACCCAAAGGACTATAAATCATGCTGCTATAAAGACACATGCACATGTATGTTTATTGTGGCATTATTCACAATAGCAAAGACTTGGAACCAACCCAAATGTCCAACAATGATAGACTGGATTAAGAAAATGTGGCACATATACACCATGGAATACTATGCAGCCATAAAAAATGATGAGTTCATGTCCTTTGTAGGGACATGGATGAAATTGGAAATCATCATTCTCAGTAAACTATCGCAAGAACAAAAAACCAAACACCACATATTCTGACTCATAGGTGGGAATTGAACAATGAGAACACATGGACACAGGAAGAGGAACATCACACTCTGGGGACTGTTGTGGGGTGGGGGGAGGGGGGATGGATAGCATTGGGAGATATACCTAATGCTAGATGACGAGTTAGTGGGTGCAGCGCACCAGCATGGCACATGTATACATCTGTAACTAACCTGCACATTGTGCACATGTACCCTAAAACTTAAAGTATAATAATAATAAATAAATAAAATTTAAAAAAAAAAAGAAAGGGACTATTAGAATCAACAAGTGTCCACTGGTGAAATTCAAATTCTGAATGCCATCTTGGAAGAGCAGCACAAAAGGAAAGGGAAAAAAAAAGATTATCCCTCCACTTGGTAATACAATACTCTAAACCCAGTCTTTTTAATCTTTGAAGGGAATATTGTGAAATTACACCTTTTCCTAACATGAAGGGCAAAACTCAAAATTCTTCTGAGTGTTCATACATAACATTCAATCATTATATTTATAATTTTGAAATTCGTATTCTAGGCTGTATATTACCATTCCCATTAGATCTCATAAAATTTATAACAAAATGGTTTAACAATAACAAGAGAAGCAATTCCTTAAAAAGTCTCTAGTCTTCAAACAAACAAGCAGACAAATGAATATTTGTTTTATACCTTGCTGCCTCCATCTATAGCTCCACCAAGACAATTTTAGCAAGAGTGGGCTAAATTTACTGCATCAGCTCCCGCTTTCAACATTCACCCACTAATGCCTCATTTCTGGGCTTTAACACTCAACAGCCTAATGAATATTCTTATACCAAGCACTACTAGTGACATGGTTTGGTTCTGTGTCCCCACCTTAATCTCATGTCAAATTGTAATCCCCCCATGTTGGGGAATGGGTCTGATGGGAGGTGACTGGATCATGGGTGTGGATTTTCTTCTTGTTGTTTTCATCATAGTGAGTTCTCATGAGTTCTGATGGTTTAAAACTGCGCCCTTGCTCTCTCTCTTGCACTCCACCATGGTAAGACGTGTGCTTCTCCTTCACCTTCTGCTATAATTGCAAGTTTCCTGACATCTTCCAGTCATGATTTGTGTTAAGCCTGTGGAACTGTGATTCAATTAAACCTCTTTTCTTCATAAATTATCCAGTCTCAGGTAGATCTTTATAGCAGTGTGAGAACAAACTAATACAGAAAATTGGTACCAGCAGAGTGGGAGACTGCTATAAAGATACCTGAAAATGTGGAAGTGACTTTGGAACTGGGAAACAGGCAGAAGCTGGAGCAATTTGGAGGGGTCAGAAGAAGAAAGGAAGATGTGGTACAGTTTGGAACTTCCCAGATACTTGTTTAATTGTTTCCACCAAAAGGGTGATAGTGATGCAGATAATGAATTCCAGGCTGAGGTCATCTCAGGTGGAAATGAGGAACTTACTGGTTACTGGAGCAAAGGTCACTCTTGCTATATTTTAGCAAAGAGACTGGCAGCACTGTGCTATGCTCTAGGGATCTGTGAAACTTTCAACTTGAGAGAGATTATTTAGGATATCTATTGGAAGAAACTTCTAAGCAGCAAATCGTTCAAGATGTGACCTGGATGCTCCTAACAGCATACAGTCATATGCCTTCCTGAGAGATGGTCTGAAATTAGAACTTCTGTTTAAAAGGGAAAAAGAGCATAAAAGTTTGGGAAATTTGTGACCTGACCATATAGTAGAAAAGAAAAACCCATTTTCTTGGAAGAAATTCAAGCTACCTGCAGAACTTTGCATAAGTGAAGAGAAGCCAAATGTTAACAGCCAAGACAATGGAGAAAAATGTCTTCAGGGCATGTCAGAGATCTTCACAATAGCCCCTCCCATCACAGGCCCAGAGGCCTAGCAGGTAAAAATTTGTTTCCTGGGCCAGGCCCAAGGGCCAGCTGCTCTGTGCAGCCTTGGAACGTGGCACCCTACATCCCAGCACTCCAGTTTTATCCATAGCTAAAAGAAACCAATGTACAGCTCAGATCATTGGTTCAGAGGGTGCAAGCCTCAAGTCTTGGTGGCTTCCACATGGTGTTGGGCCTGCAGGTGTGCAGAAGACAAGAGATGAAGTTTGGGAACCTCTGTCTGGATTTCAGATGACATATGGAAACGCCTGGATGTCCAGGCAGAAGTATGCTGCATGTGCGGAGCCCTCATGGAAAACCTCTCCTAAGGCAGTGCAGAAGGCAAATGTGAGGCTGGAACACCCATACAGTCTCCACTGGGGCACTGCCTGGTGGAGCTGTGAGAAAAAGACCACTGTCCTCCAGACCCCAGAATGCTAGGCCCACCAACAGCACGCACCATGCACCTGGAAAAGCCACAGGCACTCATTGCCAGCCTATGAAAGCAGCCAAAGGGCTGTATCCTGCAGAGCCACAGGGGAAGAGCAGCCCAAGATGTTGGGAGCCCACTTCTTGTATCAGTGTGGCCTGGATGTGAGACATGGAATCAAAGGAGATCCATGTCTCCTCCCACTTGGAATGGGAGTATTTGCACAATGCCTGTACCTCCATTGTATCTTAGAAGTAACTCCTAGGTGGAAGGGATTTGCCTTGGACTTGAACTTTTGAGTTATTCCTGGAATGAGTTAAGACACTGGGGGATTGTTTGGAAGGCATGATTGGTTTTGAAATGTGAGAAGGACATGAGATTTAAGAGGACCCAGTGGCAGAAAGATACGGTTTGGCTCTGTGTCCCCACCCAAATTTCATGTTGAATTGTAATCTCCATGTGTTGCAAGAGAGGCCTGGTGGGAGGTGACTGGAACATGGGGGCAGATATCCGCCTTGTTTTTCTCATGATAGTGAGTAAGTTCTCACAAGATCTGATGGTTTAAAAATGTTTGGCATGCCCCATTTCACTCTCTCTCTCTCTCTCTCTTCTGCTTGGCTATGGTGAGACATGCTTGCTTCCCCTTCATTTTCTGCCCGAATTGTAAGTTTCCTGAAGCCTCACAGTCATGATTCCTGTTAAGCCTGTGAAACTGTGAGTCAATGAAACCTCTTTTCTTCCTGAACTACCCAGTCTCAGGTGGTTATTTGTAGCAACATGAGAATGGATGAATACAACTAGTAAATTGCAAAAGGATAAATCCATCAGAACTTTATTACCATTTTAACTTATGGACTATCTACTCCTATTGACTATGCTCTTTTGAAAACATTCTTCCTTTTTCGAGTTTTTCCACTTATTTTTTGAGCTCCTTTTTCATATTCTTACTTCCTATGGGAAGGGAATCCCTCTGGTATAATATATGCTCAGATTTCTTTCCCCTTCATCCTATGATCAATTAGCATTCTCATTCATTTCCAAAGCTTCAATATAATCTTAATAGAAAAGACTTTCAAATCTACTATTCTAACATTCTGTAGAGCACTACACAGGGTTAGATAAATGTTAACTTTGACTCCCCACTCAGCTTCAAGGCACTGTACAAGGAATGATCTTATAAGACCTCCCTAAACATCTATGTTCTCGTCTGAAGGAAGATGCATAGTAAGATTTTCTATTGCATTGGAATTGTCCTACTAAACAGTTCATTTATGTTGTTATTATCTGAGTGTTTGACATGTAAGAGACAAGCACTGAATGCATATTTACTAAAGAGCTATTGCTTCTACTTTTCCTACTATGTTCAGCTAAGATGTCCCATCCTCCAGGAAACTTTCCCTGATCTCTTTCATTAGGCAACCCTCCTGTGGCTTCCAAGGGCAGACTATACTATTCTTACCGTAGCTCTACAAACCTCTATTGTAATTGTGCATAATATTTATCACAATATCAATAACTTGACAGCATCAACAACTGACTATGTTTTCCATAAATTCCTTGAGGGAAGGTAGATATTATGTCTTGATTGTGTTTCTATTTTCAGTGACAAAAGCAAGTTAAATAATTGGCATAAAGTCAAAGTAAAGATCTAGGCTAAGATTCCAGTACAAACCTGCCAGGAATAACTGCACTCATTCTCCCTACACCATACTGCTGTCAGGTGCAACGCTTACATTACTCTAACTTCAGTGATGGTTATGTGTTTACTTCATATGATGGATTATTAACTCCAGGAGCTGGTCAGCAATCTGGTCTCTGATCCAGGTTCATTAAGAATCTTTTTCTCTCATTCAGTTGCTGAATCAGTAGCCAGTTACCGCAAGTAAGGGTGCCTGGGTGTGTGATAGTCCCACTGCAAGGATGTGAGCCAGTTAAGAGTGTTTCATACTGGCTACGTTTTTCATCTAGTTGAGCTCTCAACAGAATCAATCTTGGCTCTACATTCAATGAGATACCCTGCAAAATTACAACACATTTTAATGCTTATTGAAATCAAATAGATTCTATGAAACCTGCAGAGACTTTTTTTACCTCTAAAGGGTAATGATTACCTTTTCATTCACTCTCTTAAGAGATGCTCAGAAGCCAAAGAAATAGCCAAACAGACTTGCAATTAAAAAGAAAAAAATCACCAGAAATCACTTGTTCATATCTTTAAACCCAAAAGATGTTTCATGTACTCTTTTTCTTACTTCATTATGAAGTATTTTTAAAGTTGTTCTCCTTTCATAATTCATATTGAGAATAATATTTCTTTGACTTATATCCCTTCCATTTAAACTATAATCAACAAAATTGTATCTATTAATGAAAAAGTCTCTAAAATAAAACACTCCAAGGAATTTTATACACTTTAATACATGAATATTTAAGAAAACTTTAAGACTTGTTACATTACATAGAAAACCATCATTAGGAGAAAAATTAGCATATAAAGTCCCTGTTAGAACTGTAAGGGGATCAGATGAGTTCTCAGATGAACACTCACTCTATTCTGGAACCTCCTGAAAAATAGTTCTTATAAGTATTAATCACAACATAATTTGAAGACATTTATGAAAGTATCAGCAAATTATTTAATTGATTTCCTGCTCTGTTTTTTTAGATATTCTTTCTTATTAGAACAAAATATGTTTCCCTATAACTTTCCTCTATTAATAGTAGACTAAACCAAAATATATACTGTTTTTCAAATGTTATTTATAAAAATATTTGGATATCAGAATTATTCTGCCTTTAGTGCTATCCTCTTCTGAAATTAACATCACAGCATTCTTAATAAGTTTGGGTTTGTGCTAAAGAAAAAAATAATACTGGGAATGATAAATACAATTTAAGTAACTCAGAGTATGGTTTTGCAGCAAGAAAAACAAAATGACATTGAAAAGGGCAGAACAATCAATATACAGCATTGGAAATCTTTGAAGAAGGGAAAAAGGTATTCAATAAAGTAAAATTAGTTTGTTTCAAAGTCAATGATCTTCAAGTGGTGTTTTATAAAGAGCTCAAGTTCACGTATTTTATTGAAAAGCCTACATTTGTTGTTTCTTAAAAAAGGTGAGTTTGCAAATATCTTTATGAGCTATGAGCTACATTTTGTAAGAGACTCCTTCTTTCATCCAGTTGTATTATACTTAAATTGCAGAAAAAGGAGCAATTTGAGAAGCATAAGCAGTTCAACATGAAAGTTCAACTTGAAAATCAAAATGTAAAATTTAAAATTCACATGACGGGCGGGTGAAAGCAAAAGTTGTAGACTAAGGTAAACCTAAGAGTTGAAGAAACACAGGTCAAATTTTGTGGGAAATACCAGTAGCAGATGTTGTACGATCCCCAAAAATGCATTAAAATAAATGTAGCCAGCACTATAATATTCATTTAGGCAAAATGTTTAAACCTTTAATTTTTTAACAATTCATTTAATGTTTTCAATAACAAAGGCCTTCACAACTCTTTGGGCAGAAAAATGGGAGTTATTTTGTTTTTATTTGAAGAAGACACTCAATTCCAGGAATTTATTTATACAGTTTGTTTATCTCAGTGATTCTCTGAGTTAGTTCTGGGACTAGCAGCATCACCTGGCGCTTAACGAGAGATGCCAATACTTAACGCGTACCCCAAACCTACTGAATCAGAAATTCCAGGGACAAGGCCTACCAGTTCATGTTTTAACAAATCCACCAGGTGATTCTGATACATGCTAAAATTGGATTAATCTTATATTTTCTGTACATAATGTTCCCAGAAATAGATGAAATAGACAGTAAAATAGGCAGATGAAGAATCTGAGTACCCTGGAGTCCTTGTTTGTTTAAATGTACCTTCTTGTTAAAAACTATCCTTCCATTTTAACCATCATGTAATCCAGGAATTAAACCGTAACTTTCCATTGTTTATTTTGTTTATAAAGAGTAGAATTGAGACCAGTGTACCAGTCCTTGACTCTGTACAGGTTCTACTCTATGTTTACTCTGCTTTCTCCAGGCCTTTACTTATTTTCTACTTCTCTACAAATCCTCATACATACACTACAGCTTTCGAGATCAAGCTGTCAATTCTTCATGGATTCACTCCATCCTAATATGATCAATTACTGTGCCTGTTTCCCTGACATTTTCTAAAATCATCAGGGGGCAAAAATGACTGACCTTCAAGTAAGTAAATATGGATTTCAAAGCCTAAGTGTTCCCAAGTCTATAAACAAGCTCTCAATTTTTCTGTCATCTACAAGAGATTAAACAAGAAAAGCGACCACAAGGCTGTCTTTGATAGGAGATTTCAGTTAAACATATTTTCTTTTTGCAATTCAATGTTTTTGTTTATTCCAAATGAGAAATCTCAATATTAAAACCAATTTAAAGTGAGACTGTTCTGGTTGAAGCAGGGAATCAGGAAAGCCTTCATGCAGCTTTTCCTTCCACAGCTCCACAGACATGTCTTTAGAACCCAAGTTTTTGTACAGTCAAATCTGAAAACTGATCTAACACATTTTCTTCCACGTGCAGCTCTCTGTGCATTAGAGATGGATTTACAAGGATTAACATAAACAGAAGTTATACATATTTTTTGGCTTGGGCAGAATAATCAGCCAATAAATTGAATCATAGAAGAGAGAAATAAGACATTTCTCAAATACCGAGCAGAAAGCACTCTGGCCACATCTGTACTGTGAAGACTATTGTTGCCTCAATCTGGAATGTCTCTGGCCCATCCTTTGTCATTTCACACTTTCTATTTATTCTTGAAAACCCTACTAAAGCTCTACTTCCTTTGTAAAGCCTCCACCACAGAAAGTCCATCTTTCCGCTGTTATACTTCTTGTCTTAAACAGATTTCCAGTATTACGTAACACCCAAACATTTTACTGGAAATATTTGCCCACAGCTTTATCTCACCCTTAAGTTCAGTTATAATCCCTCATTCATCTTTCTAACACTGAATATAGGTGTGGCACAGGACAGGCATTTAATAAATTGATATTTAAGTAATCATAACTACAAAGGAAAAATAAGGCAATTATTCGTGTAAAAGTTTTTACAGACTCATAGAAAAACTATTTAATTATACATAAAGCAGATGCCTTTTTTATTATAATAATCTAAACTTCTACTTTCTCCTTTGTTGTGAATATATAGACTTGTTTATGAAATAATCTTGTTTTCTTTCATGTACTTTTGAGAACATTTCCTTATCACCAGTGTGTGTTATTGATTTATTTATACTTTCAGCCTAACATGGCTATAGATGAATCACACTGTCTGGGTAGCAGTCTGATCATTTGCTGTTAGATATATTGAAATGTGAATTTTCAGCTATTGTAGTAAAGATTAGCATCCGGCATGCAATCAATTCTCAGGAAATCATTTCAATGAAAGCTGGAACTCAAACAACTCTGTTAATATATGCAGAGCCTATCCTTTACTTAAAGTAAATTATATTATTAGTGAAAATGGTCAATTTTCTTGAGAAAATAAAATAAAGCGCAGATAGCAATCACAGAAATAATGAGATATAAACTTACCATACAGTAATATTACCATAGAAAAGAAGTTTGTTGATATCATATAATTTTCTATGATGATGTCAAATTTTATTTAAAGAAAATATTTTGGAATTAAATTAAATTAAATTAAAATTAAAATTAAAATTAATTTCAATTAAAATTAAATTTAAAAAAGGAGCCGACTATCACACTCTTTTAAAAATTCATAATAACATGCAGCCTTTTGATGAAAACATATTATACCACATAGTCACTTGATCGTGAAAAAACTGGAATTGCCACACTTTAATCTAGTAATAAGTACATTTCTACAAACTAATAGTTCCTCTCATTTTTCAATTTGAATTAGTGATTTAATTTAAATACTGCAAACCTGAAGACAATTAAGGATAAGTGTGATATGATATGGTGCTTCAAATATGTGGAATAAATAATACATTGGGAAAAGATGATGACTACTTTAAAATACATTAAATTGATAGAAAGTAAAATAATACTGAATCTTACATTTGTAAAGTTTGCATAT